>NC_000005.10:23944184-24247214 GCF_000001405.40 Homo sapiens
CTATCATGACAATAGCATGGGAAAGGCTGGCTCCCATGATTCAATTACCTCCCACTGGGTCTCTCTTACAACACTTGGGAATTCTGGGACATAAAATTCAAGTTAAGATTTGGATGGGGATACTGTTAAACCATATCAGTACTCATCATCAAACCCAAGATCACAAATAATTTTAAAATGTTTTCTTCTAGAGTATTTTAATCTTGCATTTTACATATAAATGATTGTGTATTTTTAGTTTAGTTTTATGTAATATGCAAGGTCTTTAGATCTGTGTCTGTTTGTTTTGTTTCCTTTTGCATATTAGCATTCAATTGCACCAGCACTATTAGTTAAAAATAGTCTTGATTACTCTAGCTTTATATTTTCTTAAAGCTGGTAATATGAGTCTTCCAATTTTGAGTTTCATTTTTTTTTTATTAATCTGAGACTTTTCCTTTTCCATGTAAACCTTAGAATCCACTTGTCCACATCTACAAAATAGGCCTGTTGTGATTATAATTTGTACTGTCTTGAACTTATATATCAAGTTAGGAAGAACTGACATCTAAGCAATATTGAGTCTTCTTATTCAAGAACTTGAAATATATCTTTATTTAAGTCTATTTTTTCTTTATTTCATGATTCATTTGTAGTTTTCTGCACAGATGCTCTTTAAATATTTTATTAGATTTATGCGTACTACTGTATTCTTTTATTGGTGGTGGTACTTTCATTTCCAATTATATTATTCATTACCATTATGTAAACAGTAGTACATCTTGTGACATTGCTATACCTGCTTATTATAACAGTACCAGACATTTTTGGTATATTATTTTGAAATTTTATCCATAGATAATTGTCATCTGCAAATAAATTTAGTTTTACTTCTCCTTTTCTAATTTGCATTATTAAATTATTTTACTTCATTATCTAGGTATTTGAGTACAATAATGACACAGAGTAATGAGACATGACATATTCGCATATTTTCCAGTAGGAGAAAAGGTCTAGTCTTTGTCCATTAGAAATGGTGTTAGATGTACGTTTTTTGTAGATGTTCATTATCAATTTATGGGAATTCCACCTTTATTGCTAGTTTATAAAATGTTATTTTTTTGTTTTAATTATAAGAGTTGGAATTTTTTCAAATACTTTTCTGCAGCAATTGTTACTGTTATATGAACTACCATATGATCTTATTCTATTAATATAGTGGAGTGATTCACATTCACTCATCATTCACTCACTCACTGACTTCCCAAGGGTAACTTCCAGAACTATGAGCTTCATTCATGATAAATGCCTTATTCAGGTGTACCACTTTTTATCTTTTATACCATATGCATATTTGAGTTAAAGGAAAATACAACTTAGCAAAATTTGTGGAATACAGATAAATTATGCTTAGTAAATGTTATTGTATTAAATGCATGTATTATAAAAGAGAGATATAAAATAAATTAACTAAGCTTCTACTACCTTAAGTAATGAGAGTAAGAATAGGAATTTAAGTCTAAAGTACAGCCACTCATCATTTACCAAGGAAGCTACTTTCTGAGAAATACATCATTAAACAATCTTGTCACTATGCAAATATCAGAGAAGTGCCTACGCAAACCTAGATGGAGTCTCTGCTCTTGTCTGTAGAAGTTATATGATATATCCTATTTTTCCTATGATACCTATGTGTATAAAATGCTACTGCACTAAATACTTTAGTTAATTGTAACACAATGATTTTTGTGTTTTTTATATCTTAACATATAAAAAGTACTGTAAAATATGAGGGGGTCTTCAAACATTTATGAAAAATATGTATTATAAAAAAAACTATTCATGGCTTTAAATTTCTTTTGCACCAAAATAATCTGGTACTAACTTGTTATAACACGTTTGAACAGAATCCAATTTGAGGCACTATAAGACACCAGTTTTAAATGAAGTACTATCAGAGCAACACTAATTCTGCTAACATTGAAACAAGAACATCAAATTTATGATTAAGCTTGGATAGAAAAATGGTAAAATCATTGATGCTTTACAAAAAGTTGATGGGGAGTGTCCCAAATAAATCAACAGTTAACTCATTTCAAGAAGGGACAAGACAATGTTAAAGAGAAAGCCTGCAGTGTAGACCATTCAAATGAATTTATGACAAAAATATTTTTCTTGCACTAATTGACAATCAATAATTAAAAGCAGTAACAATAGCCAACACCATAGACATTTCAATTGTTTAGGCTTACACTATTCTGGTGAAAAAATTAAAGCTGAACAAACTTTCCACTCAAAGGGTGCTAAAACCATTGTGCCCAAATTGGCTGCAGACCAGAATGTAGCTTTCAATGGAATTTTAAACAAATAGGATCATGGTCCTGAAATTTTTCTTTGCAGAATTTCCACAGGAGATGAAACATGGCTTTCCCAGTACAATCCTGAAGACAAAGCACAATCAAAGCAATGGTTACCAAGAGGTGGAAGTGGTCCGGTCAAAGCAAATGTGGACTGGTTAAGAGGAAGTATCCTGGCAAAAGTTTCTTGGGATGGTCAAGGAATTCTGCTTGTTTACTTTCTTGAGGCCCAAAGAACAACAACATCTGCTTATTATAAAAGTGTTTTGAGAAAGTTAACCAAAGTTTATCAGAAAACTTCCTGGGAAAGCTTCACCGGTCTTTCTCCACCACAACAATGCTTCTGTTGATTCTCCTCAAACAAGGGCAATTTTGTGAGCATTTTGAAGAAAAATCGTAAGAAATCTACCTTAAGGTCCTGATTTGGCTCCTTCTGACTTACTTCTGTTTTCTAATTGTAAAAAAATTGTTTCACGGGCATGCAATTTTTTTTTTTTTTAGTTAATAATGTATAAAAGCCTGAATTGACATGATTAAATTCCCAGGATCCTCAGTTCTTTTGGTATGGACTAAATTGGTCTGGTATCATTGCTTACAGATTACATTGAACTTAATGAAACTTAGGTTTAGAAATACAGTTTATATTTTTTATTTGTACCTTTTAATTCCATTTTCCTTTGACCTTTTTGATATCTCCTCAGTAACTTCTTCCATCACTGTTTCTTCTTTCTATACTTTAACTGTGCATCATTAAATTTCCAAATATTTGAGTATAGCCCTTATATATTTTTATTTTTATTGTAGTATGAAAATACACTTTATATTATTTCTGTTTTTTGAAATGTGTTAATGTATGGGAGGGCCCACAATGTTGTCTATCATTATATGTTCCATGTGAACTTGAGAAGAATACATGTGCTGTTGTTGTTGGATGGAGCATTCTATAAATTTTGATTGCATTAAATTGATTGATAGTGCTGATCAGGCCACTAGTATCCTTATAGATTTACTTCTATATTTATCTGTCAGTAAGTAATACAGGGGTAATAAGTTTTTGAACTAAAATAGTGTATTTGTTTACATTTATTTCGGTCTTATTACCTTTTTGTCTCATATTTTGATATTATTTTGTTAGGTGGATACATTTATAGTACTGGTATTACTTCTTGAAGAATTAACATCTTTATAATTATGTATTGCTCCTTTTATTATGAATAATCTTTCTTGTAAATTTTTTTGTCTGAGGTTCATATATCTATTCCAGGATTTTTGTGTGTGTCTGTTTGTATAATATATGTTTCTCTATCTCTTTACTTTTAATTTACATGAGTCTTTATATTATAGTGAGTTACTTAAATAAAATTTGTATTTTTTGTTTTATTTTATATTTTAATCTACTTTGATAATATCTGTATTTCAATTAGTGAATTTATAAATTTACCCTTAAAGTGATTATGAATTAATATTACCATATCTGTAATTGTTTCTTATTTGGTACATTTTTTCCTTCATTCTTTCCTCTTTTTCTTTGAGCATTTTATATGATTCATTTGATTTCTTCTTTTAACATACTAATTCCTTTTATGTTTCCATGATTGCTCTAAAACTTTTAATAACCATTAAAAGTAATGTAAGTCCATTGTAAAATAACACCGTAGCCCTTCACATGTAATACAAGTAACATAACCATGTATACCTAATTCCCCCCTTTTATCTCTTATAATATTGCTGTCATTCATTTCTTGTTTTTTAATTAACTGTATGCAACATGTTTTCAAATTTTCTCACAGTTCTTGGATATTCTGCTTGTTTTAAATTTACTTAGTTTTTTCATTCTTTTTCTTTTTGCTCTTTAATTTGGGAAGCTGACCTATCTTGACCTATATTTTAAGCTCACCAATTCCTTTTTTATCCATGTCAAGACATCCCAATATTTCATAAGAAAATTTATTTATTTATAATCTTTTTATATTTAATTTATAAAATTTAATTTTGGCTGTTACTTAAAATTCTATTTCTGTGCTTACAATGACTGTATGTTACTGCATTTTGTAATGTTTTAAATAGAGCCTTTAACATAGTAATTATTGCTATTTCTACATTCGCTGTCTGATAATTCCAACATTTCTGCTATTTTTTAGTTTTATTCTGATGATTGGGTTTTCAATTGAATTTGGCGTGCCTTATCATTTGATGTTGAAAGTTGTACACCTTCCATCAAGTAATGAGAAATAAGGTAGATAGAACCATGTGTGAGTATTTAATTAATATGACTAAAAATTAAGCTTTAAAAAATTTTTGCTCTATCTATAAGTGCCAGAGGCTCCATTTCTTCCCAGTTTTTTGATATTTTTCTCTATTCTTGACTTTGGTTTTTCTACATACTCCTGCTCAGAGATAGTCTGTGAAGTTTAGATCCTTCAAATTTAATACACTGTTATACTGAGTTTGGCTGTTGTACAACAAAGTGTGAAGAATGATGAGCTCTCTTTAATCTTTTAATTAAATCTCAATATTTTGTGTGCCTATGTCTCAGGCTGTTACCTTCACAAATGTTTATAAAGTAGTATTGTTCTTTTTTCAACCTTTATAATCTACTATGTTCCCTGGCTACAGCATTCCCAATATATTTCCTTTAAGCCCTGACCCTGCAAACTATATGCTTTTCCCTCTTAGGTGAGACAGAAAAGCCAATGGAGGCTGGAGTGGAAAAAATATCTTTCTCTCAGCTCAGCAATCAGAGATAACTTGGACCTCAGTTCTTTACTTGATCTAAAGATGATCACTACTCTTTAGTGTCTTTTCTTCCTCCTCTTCCTCCTCCTCTCCTTCCCCTTCCCCTTCTTTCTCTTCCTCTTCTTTCCTCCTTCCCTTCCTCCCCCTTCCCCTCCCACTCCTCCTCCTTCTTCTTCTTCTTCTTGATAGGGGCCGGAAGCAGTGGCTCATACCTGTAATCCCAGCACTTTGGGAGGCTGAGGCGGGTGGATCACCTGAGGTCAGGAGTTACAGAGCAGCCTGGTAAACATGGTGAAAGCCCATCTCTACTAAAAATACAAAATCAGCCAAGCACGGTGGCACACATGCAATCCCAGCTACTCAGGAGGCTGAGGCAGGAGAATCACTTGAATTCCGGAGGCAGAGATTGCAGTGAGCCAAGATGGCGCCAGCACACTCTAGCCTGGGCAACAGAGTGAGTGAAATGAATGAGACTACATGTCAAAAACAAAACAAAACAAAAAGAAAGGCAGGAGTAATGACTTCCAAGTTTTCTACACATCAAAGCTGTAACTGGAAGACTCTCACTATAGTTTTTTAATTTCTCTTTTTAAATTGTTTTTAAAAACTTTGACAAAAAAGACATAACTTTAGATTTGTTTTTTTTTTTTTGGAAATTTTGTTACCAGATGGTTTATTGATTGATACTAATCCTAAATCCAAGAGTTGTCATTAAGTATACAAATAGTATTTTAATTATGAGTATCAATCCAAAATTTAACTGTTTATGTAAATTTTAAGTGTAATAATAGTTGTGTGTGTACATGCATGTACACATTAATACTAAGAAACAGACCCAGCGAAGATAATATGTATGATACAAAATGAGATACTTCTCAACAAACATTCACTCCTTTCTGGCTCCATAAATTTGGGATTTGCTCTCTGGCTTACGGTGGTCAAAAGAGAGTAAAGTGAGATATAAGCAAAGGCTATACCTATGATTCAGGAAGTTGGCCTGTCTTTTTGCTGTTTTGGATCTGCCATCAAAAGACAGTGATTTGAGGAGCTGAATAGTAACCAATGATTTAAAGAGAGTTAGGAAATATATGGAGGAGATTTGCATGTAATTTGCAGCTTAACATTAAGTCAAGACAATCATATATGAGTCTAGTAGAGCAATAGTCACCCTTCAAACATGGAAATATGGGCATAAGCGTTAGAAGCCAGAGTGAATTAGTGTTGATTACACAGCAAGAAATGGCTTACTAAAAATGTAATGTTACTTACAATATGTGGAATTACAACCAAATGTATTAATCAACATAACTACATCACATGGGTAAAAAAAGAAGTTATATTGTACAATTTAAGATGTAAATACTCCTTTTTTTCTCTAATATATGAAGTTAAGTCTTACATAACTCTCAATGACTGAAGATAAATACAATTGTGTAATTAAAGAAATTTGCTAAGATAATTATCTCTCCAATTTATAAATGAAATATATTATTTAACTATTTAGATATAAATTATAAGTGATAAACGAGTGAGAAGAACTTTTAGAAGGGGTCAAAATTAATTAAGCAAGATTTTTTTTTTTTGCTAAATGCCCATCTCACAGGTTTTTAAAAAAATTTTTTTTTGCTAAATTATAACTAAGCAAGTTTCAATGTTTTTTAAGATGTATAGGTCATGAATATAATTTTACTAATGTCATATGTGGTGTGAGATAAAATATTTGAGGCATTTTTGAATTGCATCCAGATTCTACACTTTGTTTCATTAACATTTTCAAATAAATCTTAAAGTATTATAAATATTTAATATTTAAAAATTTTGGAACTCATCAAAGATATTGAGAGGTGACAACGTGCTGGCAGTCCTCACAGCCCTCGCTCGCTCTCGGCGCCTCCTCTGCCTGGGTTCTCACTTTGGCGGCACTTGAGGAGCCGTTCAGCCCACCGCTGCACTGTGGCAGCCCCTTTCTGGGCTGGCCAAGGCCGGAGCCGGCTCCCTCAGCTTGCAGGGAGGTGTGGAGGGAAAGGCGACAGCGGGAACCGGGGCTGCGCGCGGCGCTTCCGGCGCTGCGCGCGGCGCTTGCGGCCAGCTGGAGTTCCGGGTGGGCGTGGGCTTGGCGGGCCCTGCACTCGGAGCAGCCGGCTGGCCCCGCCGCGGCCGAGCAATGAGGAGTACACCCTCCGGGCCAGCGACTGTGGAGGGTGTACTGGGTACCCCAGCAGTGACAGCCCACCGGCGCTGCGTTCGATTTCTCGCTGGGCCTTAGCTGCCTTCCCTCAGGGCAGGGCTCGGGACCTGCAGCCCGCCATGCCTGAGCCTCCCACCCCCTCCGTTGGCTCCTGTGCTGCCCGAGCCTCCCGGATGAGCGCCGCCCCCTGCTCCAGGGCGCCCAGTCCCATCGACCACCCAAGGGCTGAGGAGTGCGGGCGCGCGGCGCGGGACTGGCAGGCAGCTCCACCTGCAGCCCCGGTGAGGGATCCACTGGGTGAAGCCAGCTGGGCTCCTGAGTCTGGTGAGGACATGGAGAACCTTTATGTCCAGCTCAAGGTTTGTAAATACACCAATCAGCACCTTGTATCTAGCTCAGGGTTTGTGAATGCACCAATCGACACTCTGTATCTAGCTACTCTGGTGGGGTCTTGGAGAACCTTAATGTCTAGCTCAGGGATTGTAAATACACCAATTGGCACTCTGTATCTAGCTCAAGGTGTGTAAACACACCAGTCTGCACCCTGTGTCTAGCTCAGAGTTTGTGAATGCACCAATGGACACTCTGTATCTAGCTAATCTAGTGGGGACGTGGAGAACCTTTGTGTCTAGCTCAGGGATTGTAAACGCACCAGTCAGCGCCCTGTCAAAACAGACCACTGGGCTCTACCAATCAGCAGGATGTGGGTGGGGCCAGATAAGAGAATAAAAGCAGGCTGCCTGAACCAGCAGTGGCAACCCGCTCGGGACCCCTTCCACACTGTGGAGGCTTTGTTCTTTCGCTCTTTGCAATAAATCTTGCTACTGCTCACTCTTTGGGTCCACACTGCTTTTATGAGTTGTAACACTCACCGCGAAGGTCTGCAGCTTCACTCCTGAGCTAGCGAGACCACGAACCCACCAGAAGGAAGAAACTGAACACATCCGAACATCAGAAGGAACAAACTCCAGACGCGCGCCACCTTAAGAGCTGTAACACTCACCGCGAGGGTCCGAGGCTTCATTCTTGAAGTCAGTGAGACCAAGAACCCACCAATTCTGGACACAATAGTATCTCATTGTGGTTTTGATTTTCATTTCTGTAATGATCTGTGATACTGAGCTTGATACAGGTTTTTTGACCACATATATGTTTTCTTTTGAAAAGTGATTGTTCATGGCTATTGCTCACTTTTTAATGGGGTTGTTTTTCCCCTGTAAATTTGTTTAAGTTCCTTATAGATGCTGGATATTAGATCTTTGTCAGATACATTGTTTGCAAATATTTTCTCCCATTTTGTAGGTTGTCAGTTTACTCTGTTGATAGTTTCTTTTGCTGTGCAGAAGCTCTTTAGTATAATTAGATCTCATTAATCAATTTTTACTTTTGTTGCTGTTGTTTTTGGTGTCTTTATTATGAAATACTTGTCAGTTTCTATGTCTATAATGGTATTGCCTTGTTGTCTTCCAGGGTTTTTATAGTTTTGAGTTTTGCATTTAAGTCTTCAATCTATCTTGAGTTGATTTAAATATATATGTATGTATGTGTATATATATATAATGAAAGAGAGGGGTCCAGTTTCCATTTTTTGCATATGGCTAGCCAGTTACCCATTTATTGAATAGTCCTTTCCCTATTGCTTATTTTTGTCATTTTTATCAAGGATGAGATGGTTGTAGGTGTGCAGACTTATTTCTGGGGTCTGTATTGTGTTCCATTGGTCTACGTGTCTGTTTTTATACCAGTACCACACTGTTTTGATTTCTGTAGCGCTATAGTGCAGTTTCAAGTTGGTTAGATATGCCTCTATCTTTGTCCTTTTTGCTTAGGATTGCCTTAGGCTTTGTTTATTTGTTTGTTTCTAATGAATTTTAAAAGAGTTTTCTTTTCTAGTTCTGTGAAGAATGACATTGGTAGTTTGACAGAAATAGCAAATCTGTAAATTTCTTTGGACAGTAAGGCCATTTTAATTATATCGATTCTCTCTATTCTCAAGCATAGCATGTTTTTCCACTTGTTTATGTCATCTCTGATTTTTCGAGCAGTGCTTTGTAATTCTCATTGTAGAGATCTTCCGCATCCCTGGTTAGCTGTATTCCTAGGTGTTTTATTTTTTTGTATCCATTATAAATTAGATGGCATTCCTGACTTGATTTTCAGCTTGGCTGTTGTTGATATATAGGAATGCCAGTAATTTCTTTTTTTTTTTCTTTTTTTTTTTTTTTGAGACGGAGTCTCGCTCTTTCGCCCAGGCTGGAGTGCAGTGGCGCAATCTCGGCTCACTGCAGGCTCTGCCCCCCGGGGTTCATGCCATTCTTCTGCCTCAGCCTCCCAAGTAGCTGGGACTACAGGCGCCCGCCACCTTGCCCGGCTAATTTTTTGTATTTTTAGTAGAGACGGGGTTTCACCGTGTTAGCCAGGATGGTCTCGATCTCCTGACCTCGTGATCTGCCCGCCTCGGCCTCCCAAAGTGCTGGGTTTACAGGCGTGAGCCACCGCGCCCGGCCGCCAGTAGTTTCTTATGTTGATTTTGTATCCTGAGATGTTGCCAAAATTGTTTATCAGCTGGAACTTTTGGCCTGAGACTATGGGGTTTTCTAAATACAGAAACATGCCGTCTGCAAACAGGGATAGTTTGACTTCCTCTCTTCCAATTTGAATGCCCTTTATTTCTTTCTCTTGCCTGATTGCCCTGGCCAGAACTTCCAATAGGAAGAGGAATGTTGAGGAAGGGCATGCTTGTCTTGTGCTGGTTTTCAAGGGAAATGCTTCTTGATTTTGCACATTCAGCATGATGTTGCCTGTGGGTTTGTCATTGATGGCCTTTTTTTTTTTTTCTTTTTTGGAGGTGTGTTCCTTCAATGCCTAGGCTATTGAAAGTTTTTAACATGAAGGGATGTTGAATTTTATCAAAAGTGTTTTCTGCATCTGTTAAGATAAATATGTAGTTTTTGCCTTTGGTTCTGTTTATGTGATGAATCACATTTATTGATTTGCAGATGTTAAACCAAACTTGCACCCAGGGAATAAAGTCTACTTGATCATTGTGGATTAGCTAGCTGTCTGATGTGCTTCTGAATTCAGTTTGCTAGTATTTTGTTGAGAATTTTTACATCAATGTTAATCCAAGATATTGGCCTGAAGTTTTCTTTCTTTTTTTTTTTTTTTTCGCTGTGTCTCTGCTAGGTTTTGGTACCAGAATGATGCTGACTTAATAGAATGAGTTGGGGAGAAGTCCTTCCTCCTCATTTATTTGGGAATAGTTTCAGCAGAAATGGTACTAGCTCTTCTCTGTACATCTGGCAGAATTTGGCTGTGACTCCATCTGGTCTTGGGCTTTTGTTAGTTGGTAGTCTATTTGTTACTGGTTCAATTTTGGAACCTGTTATTTGTCTTTTCAGGGAATCAGTGTCTTCCTGGTTCAGTCTTGGGAGGGTGTATGAATCCAGAAATGTATCCATCTCTTCTAAGTTTTCTAGTTTGTGTGCATAGAGGTGTTCCTAGTAGTCTCTGATTATTATTTGTATTTCTGTGGGGTCAGTGACAACATCCCATTTGTCATTTCTAAATTTGTTTCTTTAGATTTTCTCTCTTTTCTTCTTTATTAATCTGCCCAGCCACCTATCTACTTTACTATTTTTTTCAAAAAGTCAACTCCTTGATTTGTTGATCTTTTGAATTTTTTTTGTGTCTCGATCTTATTCAGTTTAGCTGATTTTTTAATGTCTGTCTTCTAGCTTTAGAGTTGGTTTGCTCTTGTTTCTCCAGTTCCTTTAGCTGTGATGTTAGGTTGTTAATTTGAGATCTTTCTAATTTTTTGATGTGGACATTTAGTGCTATAAATTTCTCTCAACACTGCCTTAAATCCCAGAGATTCTGGTAACTTGTGTATTTGTTCTCATTAGTTTCAAAGAATTTCTGTTTTATCCTTAATTTCATTATTTATCTAAAGCCATCCAGGAGCAGGTTACTTACTTTCCATGTGTTTGCATATATTTGGGCAATTTTTTAATTATTTATTTCTATTTTTATTGTTTGTGGTCCAAGAGTGTGTTTGGTGTAATTTTAGTTCTTTCACATTTTCTGAGGATTGTTTTATGACTATATGATTGATTGTAAAATATGTGCCTTGTGGTGATGAGAAGAATGTATATTCTGTTGTTTTTGGTGGGGAGTTCTTCAGAGGTCTATGAAATCTATTTTGTCCAATTTTGAGGTCATGTCCTGAGTATCTTCTGCCTCGATGATCTAAGTATCAGTGGAGTGTTGAAGTTTCCCCCTATTATTGTGTGGGAGCCTAATTCTCTTTGTAGGTGTCTAAGAACTTGCTTTATGAATCTGGATGTTCCTGTGGTAGTTGCATATGTATTTAGGGTAGTTAGGTCTTCTTTTCAAATTGAATCCTTTACCATTATGTAATGCCCTTCTTTTTCTTTTTCTTTTTCTTTTTTAATATTTGTTGCTTTAAAGTTTGTTTTGTCTGAAATTAGGATTGCAACCCCTGCTTTTTTTTACTGAATTCCATTTGCTCAGTAGATTTTCCTCCTTGTCTTTACTTTGAGCCTATGGGTGTCATTGCGTGTAAGGCTGGTCTCTTGAAGACCACATATCAACAAATCTTGCTTTTGTATCCAGCTTGTCACTCTGTGCTTTTTAAATGAGACATTTAGCCTATTTACATTCACAGTTAGTATTGATATGTGTGGATTTGATCCTGTCATTATGTTATCAGCTGGTTATTATGCCAACTTGTTTATGTGGTTGCTTTACAATGTCACTTGTCTATGTACTTAAGTGTGTTTTTTTATTGGCTGGTAATGGTCTTTCTTTTTCATATTTAGTGCTTGTTTCAAGATCTCTTATAAGGTGGGTCTGATGGTAACAAACTCTCTCAGCATTGGTTTATCTGAAAAAGATCTTATTTCTCCTACCCTTTGGATTCTTGCTTTGGCTGGTATGAAATTCTTGGTTGAAGACTTCTTTTTTTAAGAAGCTTGTAGAGTTTCTGCTGAGAGGTTCACTGTTAGTCTAATAGGGTTCCATTTGTAGGTTACCTGCCTTTTGTCTCTGGCTGCCTTTAATATTCTTTCATTTCGTCCTTGGAAAAATCTGACAATTATGTGTCTTGGAGATAATCTTCTTGTTGTAGAATCTTTCAGGGGTTCTCTGTAATTGCTGAATTTGCCTGTTGGCCTGTCTAGTGAGACTGAGGAAGTTTTTATGGATAATATCCTGAAATATGTTTTTTAAGTTGTTTGGAAAGTTTAATAAGGTATCTGAACATAAAATTAATATAAATTGCTGGTGTCTTTCTATACATAATTGAAAAATAAAATTAAATTGTTCATTTCTTAGAAGACACAAAACACAATTGTTAAAAATGTGGAGGAATTTGTCTATTTATATTAGAAAATATAATAAAAAGGTATCAATTTTCCTCAAGTTTATTTGTACAGTCAATGCCATTGATTTCAATAAGATTTCTACAGAATTTTTAAAATATCTATTAAGAGGATTTGAAATGCATTTGGTAGATTTTATGCCCAAATATCTATCTAATTACAAAATTAGAAAGAGAAAATAGTAGATTTTACATCCAAGAACAGGCAAAATACTGCTGCAGAAAAAACTAAATGTGGGATTTGCCCTAATACTTATTGAGATGTGAAGCTGTAGGTAATTCTTAGAAAACTGATAGGAAATACTATCGGTACAAGAACAGACAAGATAATAGTTCAGTGGAATAGAAGTGTATTAAATTTATTGGCTGGGAATATTTGCTGACACCTGTAATTCCAGCACTTTAGGAGGTTCAGGTGGGTAGATCACTTAACGTCAGGAGTTTGAGACCAGCCTAGCCAAAATGCAGAAACCCAATCTGTACTAAAAGATACAAAAATTAGCTGGGGGTGGTGGGATGCACCTGTCACTCCAGCTGCTGGGGAGGCTGAGGCAGGATAATCACTTGAACTCAAGAGGTGGAGGTTGCAGCAAGCCAAGATCATCCCACTGCACTCCAGTTTGGGTGACAGAGCAAGACTCTACCTCAAACCAATAAATAGATAAATAAATTTCTTATATCTTGCTGATACGACAAAAGTATCCCTATTACGAATACATAAAGACAATAAGAAAGTGCAATTAAAACCAATAGAAAGTGGGAAAAGTCAGGAATTTACTTTCTGTAGAAAGGAGTCACATAGAGGCAAGCATCATTGATAATGAAGACATTAAAATAAAGGTCATAAGATAAAATTTTATGACCATTTGATGGAGAAAATTAAAACATTTGAAAACATCAGATGTTGAAGTAAATGCTGAGGAATGTACAAGTATCCATTGATACAACCACACTGGCAAAGAGTTTATTACTGTATGATTTTATAAAGATGAGGAATTACATGCTCTATACCTTAAAATACTGCTTCCACTTCTTTATACAAGAACAATTCTTTCACGCATTAACTCAGAGATTTATACAAGTATATTCTTATCAGCTATCCACAGTAGCAGAAATTAAGAAACATAGAGGCCATCAAGAGGAGATTGTTACACTCAAATAATGTGATTTGCTACATTTATCCAAGTGAAAGAATTACAAAGCAAGTACTCTAATATAAATAAATATTTATGTACATAACATTAAGTATAATATTAACCCACTGGAAATAAAATCAGCATATAAACTCATATAAATATAACATAAAATATAATATATATACATATACCCTATAAACAAATACATAAAAATTATATAGACAAATTCCTGGACACATACACCCTCCTAAGACTGAACCAGGAACAAAATGAATCCCTGCATAGATCAATAACAAGTTCCTAAACAACTGAGGCAGTAATAAACACCTACCAACCAAAAAAAAAAAAAAAAAGCCCACAACCAGAGGGATTTATAGCTGAATTTTACCAGACGTACAAAGAGGAGTTGGTACCATTTCTTCTGAAACTATTTCAAACAATTGATAAGCAGAGATTCCTCCATAACTCGTTTTATGAGGCCAGCATCATTCTGATACCAAAACACAGCAGAGGTACAACAACAACAACAAATTTAGGCCAATATCTTTGACGAACATCGATGTGAAAAGCCTCAATAAAATACTGGCAAACTGAATGCAGCAGCACATCAAAAAGCTTATCCACCATGATCAAGTTGGCTTCATCCCCAGGATGCAAGGCTGGTTCAACATAGGCAAATCAATAAACATAATCTATTACATAAACAGAAACCACATTATTATCTCAACAGGTTCACAAAAGGCCTTTGATAACATTCAACAACCTTCAAGTTTAAAAGTCTCAATAAACTAGGTATTGATAGAAGATATTTCAAAAAAATAAGAGCCATTTATGACAAAGCCACAGCCAATATCATACTGAATGAGCAAAAGCTGGAAGAATTCCTCTTGAAAACCATCACTAGACAAGAATGCCCTCTCTCACTACTCCTTTTCAACATAGTATTGGAATTTCTGGCCAGGCCAATCAGGTAAGAGAAATAAAATGTATTCAGATAGGAATATAGGAAGACAAACCGTCTCTGTTTGCAGATGACACTATCCTGTATCTAGAAAATCCCTTCATCTCAGCCCAAAAGCTTAAGCTGATAAGCAAATTCAGCAGTCTCAGAATACAAAATCAATGCCAGAAATCACAAGCATTCTTATACATCAACAACAGACAAGTGGAGAGCCAAATCATAAATGAACTTCCAATAACAATTACTACAAAGAAAATAAAATACCTAGGAATACAGCTAACAAGAAAAGTGAAGGACCTCTTCAAGGAGAACCACAAAGCATTGCTCAAGAAAATCAAAGCAGGCACAAACAAATGGAAAAACATTTCATATTCATGGATAGAAAGAATCAATATCATGAAAATGGCCATATTGCCCAAAGTAATTTATAAATTCAATGCTATTACCATTAAACTACCAGTGATGTTCTTCAGAGAATTAGAAAAAAACAACTGCTTTAAAATTAATATGGAATAAAAAAACAGCCTGTGTAGCCAAGACAATCTTAAGCAAAAAGCACAAAGCTGGAGGCATCATGCTACCTGAAATCAAACTATACTACAAGGTTACAGTAACCATAAGAACATGATACTGGTACAAAAACAGACATATAGACCAAAGGAACAATACAGAACTGAGAAGTAAGACTGCACATCTACAACCATCTGATCTTTGACAAACCTGACAAAAACAAGCTGTATTATTCCATTTTAACACTGCTGATAAAGACATATATGAGACTAGGTAATTCCTAAAGAAAAAGAGGTTTAATGGACTCACAGTTCCACGTGGCTGGGGAGCCCTCACGATCATGGTGGAAGATGAAAGGCAAGTCTTGCATGGCAGCAGACAAGAGGAATCAAAGAGAACCAAGTGAAAGGGTTTTTCCCTTATGAAACCATCAGATCTCGTCGGATTTATTCACTACCACAAGAACATTATAGGGCATACCACCTCCATTATTCAATTATCTTCCACCGGTACCTCCCACAACATGTGGTAATTATGGGAACTACAATTCAAGATGAGATTGGTGGGGAGTCCCCACAGCCAAACCATATCACAATCAATGGGGAAAGGATTACCTATTTAATAAATGGTGCTGGGAGAACTGTCTAGCCATATGCAGAAAATTGAAACTGGACCCCTTCCTTACACTTTATACAAAAATTAACTCAAGATGAATTAAAGACTTAAATATAAAACCCCAAACTATAAAAACCCTAGAAGAAAAATCTAGGCAATACCATTATGGACATAGGCATGTGCAAAATTTCATGATGAAAACATTAAAAGCAATTGTGGCAAAAGCAAAAGTTGACATATAGAATATAATTAAACTAAAGAGCTTCTGCACAGCCAAAGAAACTATCATCAAAACAAACAGACAACCTATAGAATGGGATAAAAATTTTGCCATGTATCCATCTGACAAAGATCTAATATCCAGAATCTACAAGATACTTAAACAAATTTACAAGGAATAAAATGAATAACTCCATTAAAAAGTGGGCAAAGGACATGAGCAAACACTTCTCAACAGAAAACTTGCATGAGGCCAGCAAACATATGAAAAAATAACACATTAAAGAAATGCAAATCAAACAACAATGAGATACCATCTCATGCCAGACAGAATGTGATTTTTAAATAGTCAAGAAACAATAGATGCTGGTGAAGTTGTGGAGAAATAGCAACATTTTTACACTCTTGGTGGGAATGCAAATTAGTTTAACCATTGTGGAAGACAGTGTGTTGATTCCTCAGAGACCTAGAACCAGAAATACCATTTGACCTAGCAATCCCATTACTGAGCATATACCCAAAGAAATATATCATTTTATATAAAGATACATACATGCATATGTTCACTGCAACACTATTCACAATAGTAAAGACATGGAATCAACCCAAATGCCCATCAATGATAGATCGGATAAAGAAAATGTGGTACATATACACCATGGAATACTATGCAGCCATATAAATAAATGAGAGCATGTCCTTTACAGGGATATGGATGGATCCAGAAGCCATTATCCTCAGTAAACTAACTCAGGAACAACAAACCAAACACCAAGAGTTCTCACTTACAAGTGGGAGCTGAACAATGAGAACACATGGACACATGGAGGATAACAACACACACTGGGGCCTGTCATGGGAGACTGGGAGGTGGGTGAGCATCAGGAAAAATAGCTAATGCGTGCTGGGCTTAATACCTAGGTGATGGGGTGATAGGTGCAGCAAACCACCATGGCACATGCCTACCTATGTAACAAACCTGCACATCCTGCACTTGTATCTCTGAACTTAAAATAAAAAAATAAAAAGACTGAACCAAAATTTAGGGTAGCATTTACCTCAACCAAAGAAAATCTTTAATATAAAATGAGGTAGAATATAAAAACAAATATAACTTCATACGTATGTTCATATTTTCATGCCATAATGGTAGTTTGGGAGGGATGTTTAGTTCAATATTAATGAGTCTATGATATAAAATAAAGTATAAACATACATAGATAATGTATGAAAGAATAAAGTTTTAGAATCCCTGGCCTTTGAACTAGTAATATTTTTTATATTTTAAAAGTTTTATAAAAAACAAGAAATGTATGGCTAGGGTATATGTGACCCACAATACATAGATTATTTTATCTTTTACAAAAATACAAAAAAAAAACTTTGCCAAACTCTTTTCTCAACATGAAGATAACTTACTCACTGGAAATTACTTTTACATTTTTCTTCATCCTTTCATAGATATTTTAGGTATTTGCAAAAATACATGTATATTTATTCACTTTTAATAATAATGTGTTGGATATTATAGTTGTATTCTGAACAGTACTTTTTAACAACAATATATTTTGCAATATTTCAAATCATTGTATATGAAAGTGACTAATTCTTTATAATAATTTTTTGTATTTCAATACATAAATACAATATGATTTTTTAACATTGTTCTTTCTTAAAGGACATTTAGATTGATTTCCATGTTTCGGTGTTTTAAAACAATGCTCTTTAACTATCTCTCACAGGTGAGATATTGTAAATACAAACACTTCTGGTACAAGGGTTATGTGCATGTCTAAATTAGACACATATTAGCACACTGCATTTTTAGAGGCTATACAAATTTGCACTTCACTGGCAATGAAAAATAATGACTATTTACACTATTTTATGACTAGTGTACTCGTTTTCAGTAATCATCTCCAATCTGTTTGGCAAAGATAAAAATTCCTTGTTTTTTTTTTTAATTGACAATCCTCAATGAAAATAGTTTAGATTGGTGCTGTTTGTAAAAAGCAGTTCTTCTGGTTTGGATTTGTTTTCATCATCTACTTCTATAGGAATGTGTCTGATTTAACTTTGTTTCTACCTTTTAAGGTAAGATTTGGTAAATTATGTACTTTTAGAAAACAGATTTCATTGAGGTGATCTACTTCGTTTCTATAGCATTATCAAACTAATATGTCATGGCCAAGTGTGGTGGCTCATGCCTGCAATCCAAGAACTTTGGAAGGATTCTTGAGCCCACGAGTTCAACACCAACCTTGGCATCATAGCAATACACAGTTTCTACAGAAAAATAAGCTGTCATGGTGACCTGTGCCTGGAGTACCAGCTGAGGTGGGAGGATTGCTTGAGCCCTGGAGGTCGAGGATGCAGTGAGCCATAGTCATGACACTGCAGACCAGCCTGGGCAACGTAGTGGTGCCCTGTCCAAAATAATAGTAATAATAATAACAATAATGTATCACAACCTTTTAAATTTCCTCCTTATTTTGTTTTGTAATCAATTATTACACATTAGCAATATGAATTTTTCTCAATATGTAAATTTTAATCTATTTTTAATAATCATTATTTGGATTCTTATTCTAATTTCTAATTTATTAACTTATTATTTTTATTTTTATTAGTTATGCTGTTTTGTTTTCCTTAGTATTATTGTGTTTTTCTAAAGAATTTAATTGATTGCATGAATCATGTAATTTTCTTCCCAGTTTATTCAGTTAATATTTAATAGTGTAACTTTTGCTTTCTTTTGCTAACTTTTGCTGTTTTTTAACCCATTTATATATTTTTACGTGCATAATTTATTTTTATGTTCTCACTTATGATGGAGTAACTGGCATCTGAATGACCCTCTTGGGAAAATAATTTATAAAATTAGAGAAATTATATTTGAAAACATATTTCAGGGATTATACATCAGTTATCTACCTGTGGTCTCTGTGAGAAGGGAAAAATCACAAGATCAACTCCATATTTTCTCTGGCTCTTAGCCTAGGGACTCTTCCTCAACCATATGCAGCAAGCTGATTCCAATAAGAGCATGATAGACCTGCTGAAGTAAGGAGACAAAAAAACTTGTGACAACTGAAGCAGCTAGAATGCACAGAATGCAGTGTTGAAGGTGAAAAGATATGGACAGGAGGCAATCTAGGGGCCCCTGCAACTCTGCAGCTTAGGACCAAACTGAACATGCATGCACAAAGCGAGATTATCCAAGAAATACCAGAGAATGGCAACTCTGTAGTTGGAAACCGAACAGAAACGCTACAGGTTGGGCAGTATAGGGTTAGACTAGTGCCTAAAAGTATGGGACATGAAAATTTTGGCTTGCCATAAGATCTCCTTAATATCCATTGCTGACTTTGCAAATAAATTTGCTTTGAGTAAAACAGTGCCATATAAGTAAAATATGCTCTAGATATTAAGCAAAATGTTTTTAAGTGATCTCGGTTTCAAAGAATAAATCAAAATTAGTCTGTTCTCACACTGCTAATAAAGGCATATCCCAAACTCGGTAATTTATAAAGGAAAGAGATTTAATGGACTCACAGTTTCACATTGCTAGAGAGGCCTCACAATTATGGCAGAAGTCAAAGGAGAAAGAAAGGCACATCTTACATGGCAGGAGGCAAGAGAGCTTGTGCAGAGGAACTCTCATTTATAAAACGATCAGGTATAATGAGACTTATTTATTACCCTGAGAATAGTATGGGAGAAACTGCCCCTATGATTCAATTATTTCTGCCTGGCCCCACCCTTGACATGTGGGGATTATTACAATTCAATTTGAGATTTGGGTGGGGACACAGCTAAACCATATCAACACTGAATAATGAAAATACCTCATATCAAAATGTAGGAAATTCGGCTAAAACAGCATTCAAAGAAAAATTTGTAGCTTTAAGTATTTGTAGTAAAAAAAAAAAGAAGAAAAGTAAAAAAAATCATCTAACAACAGAAAAATTAGAAAAGCAACTTAGTGAATAAGTAAGCAAGTAAATAAGCAGATATAAATAAATGCTAAAAATAAAGAAAAAAATGAAAAACAAAACGAACTAAGCCAAAAATAGTCTTTTGAAAAGATGAATAACATTTACAACCAAATATACAGACTGATGGGAGAAATCAAAAGGAAATGTAAGGGTTACTAAAATTAGGAATTAAAGGGAGAATATCTCTGTAGAGCATTGAAATATTAAAATATTAACTGAGGATAATATAGTTAGCTTTATATCACTAACTTCAAAAAAAAGCTCAGAATAATTCCTCCTCAATGATACATTAA
Source organism: Homo sapiens (assembly GCF_000001405.40). NCBI lineage: Eukaryota > Metazoa > Chordata > Mammalia > Primates > Hominidae > Homo > Homo sapiens. Next base: position 23,964,578 of record NC_000005.10, read on the forward strand.
AACATTTGACAAAATTGAATATATCCATTCATGATAAAAAACTCTCACAACAGTAGGTATTGAAGAAAATACCATCAAACTTTTAAAGGCTATCTCAAAAACCGTATGGCAAATATCAACCTTAATAGAGAAAAAGTGAATAACTTTTTCCCAAGATCATAAGCTAGCAAAAAATGCTCTCTCTCTTCAAGGATATCCAATCATGCAAGTAGGTTTACTTACTGTACCATACTGTAGAGAAGGGTCTAGGTAGTCTATTAAAGTTAAAAAGAAATTATACATATTGGAAAATATAAACGTAAAATTTTCTTTATCTCAGATGACATGGCTGTTTTTGTAGAAATGAAAAGCAACAATCATAACTGTATTCGTCTGTTCTCATGCTGCAAATAAAAACATACCCAAGACTGGGTAATTTAAAAAGGAAAGAGGTTTAATTGACTCACCATTCCACATGAATGGGGAAGCCTCAGAATCATGGTGGAAGCCAAAGGCTCATATTACATGGTGGCAGGCAAGAGAGCATATGCGGGGGAACTTTTTTTTTATAAACCATCTGATCTCATGAGACTTATTCATATTATGAGAACAGCATGGGAAAAGCCTGCCTCCATGTTTCAATTACCTCCTACCAGGTCCCTCCCATGACACATGGGGAACATGGGAGCTACAATTCAATGTCAGATTTGGGTGGGGACACAGAGCCAAACCATTTCTATAACCAAAACAAGAAAATTGCTAGAATGACTAAGCAGTTTAATAAAATCACAAGTTACAAACTGAATATAGAGAATCAATTGCATGTTTCTACAGTAGCAGCAAATTATTGGAAAATAAAGTTTAAAACTGCCATTTACAATAACATTAAAATCAAAATGTTTCAGAACACATTTAATGAAGTATGTATAAACCTCTAAAATGGAAACTGCAAAGTATGTTAAGGGAAGTAAATAATATCTAAATAAATAGAAGTGGCAGCTAGATTCTAGGCTGACCCTCAAGATTCATACCTACTGATATATATGCCCTGTGTAATCCCCATCCCATAAATATGGGCAGGATCTGGGAATATGATGGGTTATTACTCCTGTGGGAAGATCATTATATATGGTCACAGGCAAATGTGAAGGACTTTTGTAGACGTAAGGTCCCAAATCAGGTGACTTTGACTCATTAAAAAGGAAGATTGGCTTTCCTAGTTTTTTCTGACTTAAACAGTGTAAAGTATTTAAAAGAGAGATTAGACACTTTCTAAAGAAAGAGATGCTCTCCTTCTGGTCTTTAAAAAGCAAAGAGCCATGCTGTAAACTACCCGTGGATCTGGGAAGCCTCCCAGTACCAAAGGCCTCAATCCAATCACAACCAGGAACTGAATTTTGCCAACAACTGGAATGATCTGAACAAGTCCCAAGCTCCTCGTGAGAACACCATCTGCCCAACATTTTGATCTCAGCCTAGTTAAGACTCTGAGCAGAAGACCCAGATAAGTCATGCTAGGGTTTCTGAATCATAAAAACTGTGAGATAATAAACATATATTGCCTTAAGGCAGTAAAACTGTGAAAATTTTTATGTATTACAATACAAACTAATAAAATAGAGATGTGTCACATTCACAGAATGAAAGACTTCATATTATTATAATTTCCAATTTCCAAAAATCAATATGTAAATTAAGGCAATCCTAATTAAATTTCAAAAGGTTTATTCTAAAAGGTGACAAATTGGACTAAAATATTTTAGGAAATGCAAAAAGCCTAACATTTCTGAAATCATGTTTGAAAAAGAACATACAAAATTGAGGGATTCACCTTTTCGAAGTTCACAACTTACCATAAATCTAGAGCAGTTATCATAATATCTCATTCTCACATGAGACATAAATAAATCATTGCATAAATTAATAAATACAGAAATACAATCCCAAAGACACCACTGATTAACTTTCAACAGAGGTGCCAAAGTAATTCAATGTACCTTGATACCTTAAAGATAGCAATGTACCTAATTAGGTAGGTGAAGATTGAAGTTTATTTTTCCACACAAGTGTCTACCTTTAAACAATGTGGAACAAAGTAGATATTTGTGCGAAAAGATGAACTTTAATCTTCACCTATGGTGATACACAAAAATAATTGAAAATTGTAGACATAAATTTTAAAACCACAAATATTAAACACCTACATGACAACATAGGAGAAAAATCTATGCAATCTTGGTAAAGGTAAAAGTTTCTTAAATAGCATACAAAAAGTATTACCAAAAAGGGCAATTTTGATAAATTGTACTTTATCAAAATAAAACTTTTTGCTCTTCAGAAGATACCATAAAAAATAAAAAAAAACATGAATGGATGAGTCATAGTCTAGGAGAAAATATATAACACAGTACTTCCATCTACAATATTCAAAAACCTCCCACAAATTAAGGAGATTAAAAAATCCTATGTAATGTAAAGCACTTGCATAAACATGTCCCAAAAATAATATGTAACTGGAAAATATTTACCTGAAGAGAACAATGACATTATTGATCACCAAAACACTGCAAACTAACATCCTTGGAATATATCACTTATATTAACTGGTATGCTAAAGTTAAAAGGGTATCAACTGCAACAGTTCATAAGGATGTAGAACACAGAGCTCTCACACATTCCAGAGAGTGTCAATAGGTAAATTTATTTTTATTTTTCTCTTTGGAAAACTGGCTGACTCTCTCTTTAAAAAGTAAGCCTAAACTTATCATATGACACAGGAGTCAAACATCTAGGTATTTTTCCAAGGAAAATGAATATATATGCTCATAAGATCACTTATAAATGAATGTTTGGAGCCCCTTTAATCATAATACCAAACACCATATACAGACTCATGTCCTACAGTCCATCCAAAGATAAATGAATAAATAATTTTGGTATAATCCCCCAATAATATGTAACTAAGAAGAAATGAAACATAGAAATACTGATACCCATGATAATATGGATGAATTTTACAGACATTATGTTGAGAGGAAGAAGCCAGGTATATAAAGGTATTTGTTGTTTGCTTTCATTTTTATTAAATTCTAGGTAAAATCAATAATTAGGGATCCATCGCCCAAGATGGAGTACACAGGTGCGATCTTGGCTCATTGCAACCTCCACCTTCTGGGTTCAAGTGATTCTCCTGCCTCAGCCTTCTGAGTAGCTGGGAGTATAGGTCCCCACCACCATGCCTGGCTAATTTTTGTATTTATAGTAGAGGCGGGGTTTTGCCATGTGGGCCAGGCTGGTCTCGAACTCCTGACCTCAAATGATCGACCCACCTCGGCCTCCCAAAGTGCTGGGATTACAGGCATGAGCCATTGTGCCCAGCCTAACACACACACACACACACACACACACACAAACTTGACTTAATAATATCTGCAGTGGGTTCATTTTTGCTGGCTTTATTTTCCCTAATTTGTCAATACCTGATTAATTTTTGAACTCATATATAGTTTTAACAACCTGTAAGGCAATCATTTCTCATTTGGACCTTGTGATAAGTAAATCTTCAAATGCCTTAGGAGTTTATAAGTCAAGACAAATACTGCTACATGCTTCTTGAGTTAGCTATCCTGTTATAATCGCATTCTCAGTTGATTTTTTACACCATAGCAGAACTTATAAGGTTCTTCGTCCATGTGAAAGTTTTGCTGCCACAGCTTTAAATTTGTTCAGCTTATACTGAAGTTTTTCAGTTTATTCAATGTTAAAAAAATATTAGTCATTATGTCAGATTTAAAATTATTTATATTTATGCATTTTAACTAAAATTATCATTTTGTTGAACGAATCAAATATGAAATATTGAATTTGCTGCACGTTTACCAAATGAATGTTACTATCATTTGACTCACTGTATTTACAATATGAGATATTTATTTTTTTCTTATAGTAAATGAGTCAGTTTTTCTTGCTTATATTCTTAAAAACACCTGGAATTTTAAAAGTTATTTTAAAAAGCAGGATCAATATTCATATAATTTCATATACCCATACATAAATTCTTGCTCATAATAAATGAAATCTTACAGTTGAAAGTAAATTTAAAAATCATCAAATAACAGCTGGTGAAATTGAAACACTGGCTTAATATATAAATCAAACACTTATCAGAAAACATTTGCAAACTCAAGGTAGGATAGTGTGAAGGAAATATTTTTTAAAATAGGACTCCATGTGAATTTTAGATAGATTTTTTTTCTAATTATGTGAAGAATACCACTGGTAGTTTTATAGGAGTAGAATTAAATCTATAAATGAACTAAATCTATAAATCTATAAAATGATGTCTTTTGGCCTAGGAACAGAGCCCCTCTTAAAGACTTGCTGGAAAAAGCTAGAGTGAAATTCTATTTTGCTCCATCTCTCTTACCTTCTGACATTCTCTCAGTGGCTGAGAGAATCTATCTTTGTCCTATTTGTTTCTGTCATATAGATCAATACTCTACAACAGAAAGCAGAGTGGAAATTTTAAAAAATACATCAGTTGTCTTAGAGAGGATCATTTTTCTTAATGACATATAACGTTGCATACAAAATAGCAAAACAAATTATTTTGAGAACACATAAAAAATTTAATTTGTTCTAATTGACTATATGTTAGATCACAAAATACTTTTAAATTCACAATAAAATCATACATTTACTCATGAATTTACTGATACATCAAATACTTAACAACTCTCCACTCTATACCAAATATGACTTTAGTCCAAGGGGATGAAACAGGGAGTGAACTCCCTCTGACTACAAAGTTGCTTCTCTTTAGCTTATACCCTGTATGGAGAGACAGAGAGTGAAATAGCTAATCTACAGAAGATCACTTAGAGATAGATGTGGGAAAAATTGGAGAGTGTAAAGGGATTTCAAGAGACAGGGTATGATGTGGGGGATCTATGTTTGTTAGATTGACTAAGGGATGCCTCTCTGATTAGATGGCCCACTAACAGTGTATTAATTCCCCAGCCCTGCCATAACAAATTACGACAACTAAGTTGTTTAAATAAACAGAAATTCATCATCTTCCAGTCCTGGAAGCTAGAAATTAAAAACAGAGGTTTCAGCAGGGTGGTACTCCCTTTGAAACTCTGGGTGGAATGATCTTTTGCCTCTTCCTAGCTTGCTGGTTTGGGATGTCAGTCCTTGGTTGGAAGATGATACACCAATTCAGTCTTTTACTTTGTTGTCACATCGTGTTCTCTGTGTGTGTCTCTATCTGCTCTCATAGTATTCCCCTCCTGTGTCCTCACAATATCTTTGTATAAGGAAACCAGTCATATTCGATCAAGAGCCCACCCTGCTCCATTATGACTGCATCTTAACTAATTACACCTACAATGACCGTATTTCCTATAAGGTTATATTCTGAGATACTAGGGGCTAGAAATTTGGGGGGTAGCCACAATTCAAATCATAACAAACAGTAAGCTTAAGTACAGCAGGAACTGAGCCATGAGAGGTTCTGCAAAAAGAGCATGACAGGTTGATATTATTGCTCCTAATGCAAAAACTCACTTGGGGTGTACATGTAGACTTACCACTCATTATAGTTTTCCCAAAATAGTTCTAGTTTATTGCTGTGGTCTCAGTATAAATTTAATAGATATCGTTTAACAAAAAACTGCAGGCACCCTCATTGGACAAGAAATTACATGTTCTTCCTATGTGTAAAAAACACAAGAAGTTCAGTGTCACTGTAACAGAGTGAGTATGGAGGAGATTATTTTACAGAGATGGTGATTCAACCATCTCTGTAAATATGTATATGATTTTGTTTTCCCAGGTAAGGTCTTTGCATATAATTTTGCATCTCTTGAGAGGGGTTTTTAGCAAAAAGGTAAAATGATATATTTATTGAATTATAACACATGGAGAAAATCTGCAAAAATCTTACCTATAGCTTAACAAATGGTAAAAAATAAAAAGTGAATATATTCAGGTAATCATTACTAAGTAATGGTTAGTAATGAGTAAAGTCAAGAGATAGAGCATTACTAGCAATTTTGAGGTTTCTCCATCATCCCTTCCTAAATATTTCTCCCCTTCCTCACATAAACACCAAATAATTTATAAATTTTAAACACATGGAACCAAACTGTGGGTATCACTTTGTGTTTGGATAATTTACAGTCAATATGATTGCTAGATTAATGCATATTGTTATAATTTATGTATTTCACTGTTGATGAGAAATTGTATTGTTTCTAATTTTCAACTTTTATATGGCAATGTAAATAATCTTGTATATACATTTGGTGTAAATCAGAAGTGAAATTTCTGAGTCATAGGGTATGTTTAGCTTTAATGAATGCCAATCAGTTTTTTGAAGTGGCTGCATCAATGTATACACTCCATACAGTGTAAAGTAGTTTTGTGGTTTTATATTTTCACAAAAATTAGTATTGCCATCTGTATTGTTTTATTTCAGATATTCTGATATTTATGAATTGTTATCTTATAATGATCTTAATTTGTATTTGTGTTTTCATAATTATAAGATGTTTGATTAGTGATGTTTGATTTTGTTTAGTGAACATTTGGCCTGGCTGATTTGGGAACTGTTACCTCAATGTTTTGTTTTGTTTTGTTTGTTTGTTTTTTCAGTGTAAAGAGGTTGTTTTTAATTGTGTATATGTAACATTAGACAAAACTATTTAAAGTCAATAAATTTTTATTCAGGGAATTCCATGTTGTGATTTCTTCCACTGTCCATTAAGGTCACTTTAGATCCTCTAAAGAGCTGGAGTCAAAAGATTTATCTTCATGTTAGCCATTTTTAATGAAATGATGCTTATTTTAATCCAGTTGTCCTTTTCAGCCCATAATTCTTTTATTTTGGTTTCTGTCATCTCCTTTTGATATGGATATACTGATGAAGACTTCAAAATTTACCAAGAATCTTTGGGATCTAATTTCTTCAACCAATTTACTTTAGGGTCCTTTTTACTGCTGGTGGTGGATCTGCTTGGTTCTCAATTTGGCAACCTCTCTTAACATGTATGAGTTCAAATCATATTCATTCCTAAATGATCACACTCAAGAATAGTACAGATGTGTGGAAGATGCCAATCCCTTTAACTCCAGACATCATGTTCTCAAGATAAAAGCCTTTAAACAAAAAGCCATCATATGTATGGTCAACATGGAACTGGAATGAAAAATTAATACTGCTGAGGATTTCCCTCATATTCCATGCTGTTTAACTATCTATTCTACTATCCTAGAATCAATATTTTTTTATTAAGAGACAGGGTCTGTCTTTGTTACCCAGGCTGGAGTACAGTGGTACCATCAATGCTTAGTGCAGCCTCCAGCTCCTGTGCTCAATCCTTTTGCCTCAACCTCAGCTTCCTGAGTAGCTGCAACTACAGGCACATGTCCCAATACCCAGCTAATTTTTAAATTTTTGTGGAGATGAGGTGTTTGTTACTATCTTGCCCAGGCTGGTCTTGAACTCCTGGTTTTAAGCAATACTCCCACTTTGGTGTGGGGATTGCAGGCTTGAGCCACTGTGCCTGGCCTGGAAACAACCTTTATGGCTGTCAATACTCCCATCAGTTAACTGTCTCAGGTGTCATAATATCCCTTCTTACATGTATCAAAACTCATACTGAACAATAAGTTCTGGGTTGCAGAAGAGGATTTATGTTTTGCACCTGTCCGTAAGTCTTTGTCCACAAGACCTCAATGTTTTTGACTATCATTGTAGTGAATACTCTATTATTTAGTTAGTTTCTATTAGTAACTGTTACTGTGTACATGTGAATCCTTTATTGGAAATAATTGTTAGAGTAGCTTTTCCAACTCTGTTTCTTGCCCATTAACTTTATGTCCTTTAAAATTTTCCTATTTCAGGCCAGGCGTGGTGGCTCACACCTGTCATCCCAGCACTTTGGGAGGCTGAGGCGGGTGGATCACGAGGTCAGGAGATTGAGACCATCCTGGCTAACATGGTGAAACCCCGTCTCTACTAAAAATACAAAAAAATTAGTTGGGCGTGGTGGCGGGCGCCTGTAGTCCCAGCTACTCGGGAGGCTGAGGCAGGAGAATGGCGTGAACCTGGGAGGCAGACCTTGCAGTGAGCCGAGGTAGTGCCACTACACTCGAGCCTGGGCAACAGAGCAAGACTCTGTCTCAAAAATAAATAAATAATAAAATAAAATAAAATTTTCCTATTTCAAAATTTAAATATATTCTCTTCTGCTATCTTGTAGAGGTCTTATTGTAATTTCCATGTTTACTTCTATCACAGTAAAGGGTGTTATAACAAATTATCATAGACTGGGTGGCTTTTATAATAAACATTTATTTTTCACAGTTCTGGAAGCTGAAAGTCCAAGATCAGTGCCCCAGCATAATTGAGTTCTGGCGAGGGCCCTCTGTCAGGTTGCAGCCAGCTCACTTTCTTTCTTTTTCTTTCTTTCTTTTTTTTTTTTTTTTTTAATCCTCACGTCACAGAAAGATGACAGGCTAGCGCTCTGGCCTCTTTTTTTAAGGGCACTAATTGCATTCATTAAGGGTCCACCCTTATGGCCTAATTACCACCCAAAGGATCCAGCTCCAAAGAGGATCATATTGAGGATTAGATTTTAATATTGAATTTTTGGGGATACACAATATTCAGTCTGTAACTATATATATATTATACTGTTTATACTGTAGGATTGTTTATACTGTAAGAGAAAATTTAAGTTTATTTTATTATAGACATCAAATAGTCTAGTATACTAAAAGTTTGTAGTTTCAACTGTGTCATAAATCATGTATCTTTTTTTTGTGAAAGTGTGTACTCACTGGTTTATTCTACTGCTCTGTCTACTATGATACCAATAAAACATCCTCTTTGTGTATTTTTAAAATAATTTTAAAGCAGATTTATTGGAGAAAAATTCAAACATTTTAGAATGTAGCTGTTTAAAGTGAATAGTCAGTAGTTTTTAGTACAATCATAGAGTTGGGAAACCATCACTACAATAAATTTTAAAACATTTTTATTCACACACACAAATTCCATTAGCAGTCACTAATCATTCACCACTAATTGTGCGTTGAGAATTTTAGCAACAATATTCCTAATAAATATTGGTCCGTAGTTTTCTTTGCTTGTAATGACTTTGTCCAATTTTGTTATCAGGTTAATATTGGCTTCTTTAAGTGAATTGGGAAGTTTTCCCTTTCCTTCTATACTTTGGAAATGTTTGTAAATATATGAAATTAGTTATTTAAATGTTCTGTGGAATTCACCACCGAAGCCACCTGAACCTTGGATTTTTCTTTTGGGTAGTTTGTAAATTGCAAATGCAACGAATTTTACATATAAAATATATATACTTTTTAATTCATTCTTGTTAGTTCATGCATTTTAGGAATATGACCATTTCATCTATGTTATCTAATTTGTTAGCATATAATTGTTTATAGAATTCCCTTATAATAATTTTCAATTTTTTAAGTTTATTAGTAATTTCATTTCTGATGTTAATGATTTGATTTTGACTTTTTTCTGGGTCAGTATAGCTATAGATTAGCCAATTTTGTTGATTTTTTTCAAAGAAGAAAACTTTTGATTCATATATTTGATTGCTTGTCTATTCTCTATTTTATTAATTTTCACACTGTTATTCCCCTGCTTCCATGTGCTTTGGCTACAGTCTGTTTGTCTTCAAATGGTGCCATAAGTTGGAAAGTTAGGTTATTGATTTGAGTTTGCTCTTCTCTTTTAGTGTAGATATTTACAGCTATAAATTAATGCTGTAAACACTACTTTTATTGTAGTCCGTAAATTTGGGCATGTTGTGCCCTTACTTTCATTTATCTCAAAGTACATTTATCTAGTTTGATTTATTTCAAAAAAACTTTCTAGTTTCTCTTTTGACTTTTCCTTGAATTCATTGGTTTTTAGAAGTGCATTCTTCAATTTCCAAATATTTGTGATTTTACCAGTTTTGTTCTGTTAATTTGTAATTCCATTTTGTGATTGAAGAACATACTCTACATGATTTTGACCCTTTTAAATATATTTAGATATGTGTTTTGATAGATATGTTAGATATGTTTTAAACACATTTAGATACGTGTTTTGTCTAGGGTGGAGAATGTACCATGTGCATTTGAGAAGATTATGTATTCTGCTGTTATTGAGTAGTGTGTTCTATAGAAGTTTGTTAGGTGAGGTTGATTTATAGTATTGTTCAAGTCTTTTATTTTCTTGTCAATTGCCTGCCTAATTGTTATACCCATTATTAAAAAGGAAGTATTTAAGGCTTTATATTGTTGTTGAATTGTCCATTTCTTTCTTCAATTCTTCTAGTTTCTGTTTCATGCATTTTGGAACACTGTTGTATTTGTGTATATTTTTATAATTCTTATATGCTTGTGATGGATTGGCTTTTATCATTATAAATTGTCTTTATGTCTAGTTATGTCATTTATGTCTTATAGTGTACAGTGCCTAATATTACCACAGTCACTCCATATTTCTTATGGAGAAATATTTATATTCTTATGACACAAATTTTACCATTCTTTAACTTTCAATGTATTTGTATCTTTGCATCTGAAATCTAAAACGTGTCAGCTGTAGATAGTATATAATTAAATCTTTTTAATCAACTCTAGCAATCTCTTCCTCTTAATTAGATTTGTAAATTCTTTCAAAATTAATATTATTCATGTAGTGTGCAAATTCCTCTGCCATTTCTATTTTTATATGACTCGTATTCTTTTTTCTACATTCCTCCTTTATTGCTTTCTTGCATTAAGTGAATATTTTCTTGAATGAATTTTAACTCCTTTAATATCTTTAATTTTTTATTGTATTTTTTTGTCATTTTCTTAGTGTTCCTGCCAGGGCTTCTAAATACATCTTATTACATGTACTTATATAAAAGTAATTCTGTTGAAACAGAATTATTATCCTTATATGTCTTTATTCCTACTTTTTTGAGGGGGGTATTGTTGTATACATTAATTGTACATATGTTAAAAATTTAAAAATGTAATATTATAACTTTACAGAATTATATCTATTTGAAAGAGGCTGAGAGAAGAAATAAAGCAAACATATATTTACAGCATTTGTTAACCTTCTTATTTACCAATTATTGTTCTCTTAATTTGTTTTTGTAGATTCATTACTATCTATGTCATGTCATTATTCCAGTACAGCTTTGTTCTTACCCACCTACTTTGTGTTGTTATTGTCAATTAATTTCATTTTTATATGCTGTTGTTGTAACAATACAATCATAAATATATGTTGTTTGTACAATGCTCTTTACATTAGTTATGAGAAAAAGGAGAATAGATAAGCATCCCTGCTGTATTTTAGAATGTCATAATTACCTCTACTGGTGCTCTTAATTTTTGTCTGTTTGTTTGTTTTCAGTTGCAGTCCGTAGGCACTTGCTTTAACCGTGAAGAATTACCTTCAGTACTTCAGGTAAGACACATCTGCTAGTTATGAATTCTCTCAGAATTCATTTCTCTGGAGGCATTTTTATTTTATTAATTTTGAGAAATACTTTTGCTGAATATAAGATTTTTGGCTTACGTTTATTTTTCAGCATTTTGAATATATAGGTCCACTATGACTTTCATTGTCCATGATATAAAGGTAGCTATTAATATTATTAGCATTTCCTTGTACATGATAAATTATGTTTCTGTTATAGTTTTCTAATTTTTCTTTTTATGATTATGACAATTTTTATAATATGTGTGGGGGGTGGTATCTTTGCACATTTCTAAATTTTAGTTTGTTGAGCTTCTTGTGTGTAGATTAATTTATTTTTAATTAAATATGAAGTTTTCAGCTAGTGTTTTTTATCTCCTCTCCTGGATCACCTAATATGCATATGTTTGCATGTTTAATACTTTTTTATGTTTCTCCAAGACTCTCCTCATTTTTCTTCATTGATTTTTCCTTATTCTTCAGCATTCATAATCTCCATAGATCTGCCTTCTATTTTGGGAATTCTACCACTTCAAATATACTATTTCCACTCACCTTATTTTCATTGTAGTTGTTATTGTTTGCCACCACATGGGTGAGCTGGAGTGAGAGTAATCAGTATTCCACTGTCCTTGGATACACTTGGAATAGAGCCTCCTTACTATAAGTGGGGGATCGATGGAAAAAGGAAACTGTAATTTTGTAGCAATAGTTGTCAGATTATACATTTCAACTTAGAACTAGGGGGATGAGAAATGATGCTTACTTGCCCTATTCTCATGAGATGCTCTTTTCTTTTATAAGGAGCCAAAGGGAGATGGAGCCTAATTTTTTTTACTTGTTTTAGTGGAGCTTCTCTCATGCAAATATGTTTGAGAAAAGAGGATAGGTGGAAGTGGAAAGAAGTGCATCATGGCTCAAGTGAAGCAGACTTTAACTGTTCTTGTTCAGATCTACAAGATTTGGTAGTTTCTTTTAAAAAATGTTTCTTCACTTGCTATATGCCCTTAGAAGAATTTTCAGATGATATAAATTGTTAGTTTTTTTAAAAAACTTTTTTTTGTTAGTACAATTGTTTTACTGGGGAGTAAGTACATGGAACTCTTTAAGCTGTATTTTTGGAAGTTGTTAGGTACAGTAAGTTCCTCTTCAAAGAGTCAGCTTGTTCAGCTTCCTTGTTCTTTGTTCTCTATTTTCAAAGCCTAACTTCTTCGTTCTTTGTACCTCCTTGCCCCTAGTTACAGTAAACAACCTTCCTGCCAGTCTTAAACTATAACGCACATCTGTTCCCTTGGTTACCCACTCTGCAACTGCCCTTCCTGCCAAAACTTCTTCCTGCCCAAACCACTCGTCCTGCCACTGTAACCCACATCCCTGCTGTATTTGAAATAGCCAGTTGGGATTAGCTTAGATTGTGTGGTCCAGCCCCAGCCAGTGTGAACAGGACATAGAAGCAGTGACTAACCGTTTTATGGATAAAAACCCCTTCCCTCCTTTGTTCGGTATGCTCTCATAGCAGCCAGAAGTGCGAGTGGCACCCTTCTGCAGAAGTAAATTTGCCTTGCTGAGAAATCTGTTGTTTGAGTGCTCGTTTTCCTTGCAACTCTGAGCTCTTATTTTCAGCAATCTGGGGGCTTATCTGGGATTCCCATTCTCCTATGGGGAAAGGGTCTCCGGTAACCTCTCATGAGGAGACTTATTGCACTGCCTCATTGCAGTGGCCTCAGGGTGAGGAATTGGGAGCCACCAGTGTGACAAATAAACCTGGACTCTCAGCAATGAGGAAAGAAACAGACCAACAAGTTGGGGAAAGAAAGCTCACATACTGCGGTGACCAGGTAACTCTGTTCACAGACCAAGGTAAGAAACATCGCAAGAGTGACAAAGTACTTCCTTGGTGGTTGGGATACCTTGAAGGTTGAAAGCATGTGAATAAGATGCACAATTGAGTGAAAAGCTAGTGTTGAGTCTGCATCTGTGGTTCCATGGTCCCTTCATATGGCTTATGGCAGTGCTCCTCTAAAGGAGTCTGGGTCAGGGGTTTATACTGACCAACCAATGCTAAGAGAGACCCAACGCCTGAGAGGGAAATGGCCAGAGAAGAACGAAGCGAATGAAGAAGAGTGCAAGAAACCTCCACCAGGGGGCGTTGAGCCTCTAGGAAAGGAAAGGTGAGAACTCTCCAGTAGGGTATGTTGAGCCTCACACAAACCTCCAGTAGTGGGGAAGGCAATAAATTTCCAGTAGGGGAAATTGAGCTCTGACATGCTTTCTTCTACTTGTTCTGGTCTATTGTTGAAACTTTCCACTGCATTTTGTATTTTTCTAGGTGTATCTTTCATTTCCAGAAGTTGTGGTTGTTCTTTCTTTATGGTAGCTATCTCTCTACAAAATTTTTAATTCAAATCCTAGATTGTTTTTTGAATTTCTTTAATCGGTTTTCAACTTTCTCTTGTATCTTCTTGAGTAGGTTAATAATCAACCTTCTTAATTCTTTATATGGCACTTCAGAGATTTTTATCTTTGTTTGGATCTATTGCTGTGGATCTAGTGTGATTTTGTGGGGGAGTTATAGAGCCCTGTTTTGTCATGTAAATGCCCTAAATGCTCCACTTAAAAGATGCAGAATGGCAGAGTGAATTAAAAAAAAAAAAACAGTCAAATATCTGTTGTCATCAAGAGATTCATCTAACACATTAAGGATTCATAGAAACTTGAAGTAAAGGTGTGGAAAAAGATATTCCATGCAAATGGAAACCAACAGTGAACAGGAGCAGCTATTCTTACATCACACAAAACAGACTTTAAAGCAACAACAGTACAAAAAGACAAAGAAGGACATTATACAATGATAAAATGATTAGTTCAACAGGAAGATATTACAATCCTAAATTTATATGCACCTAACATTGGAGTTCCCAGATTTAGAAAATAATTGCTACAAGATGTGTAAAATTGAATAGACAGCAACACAATAGTGGGGGGGACTTCAATACTCCACTGACAGCACGAGGCAGATTATTAAGAGAGAAATTCAGCAAAGAAACAATGGACTTAAACTATACCTTAAAACAAATAGACCTAACAATTTTTTACAGAACATTCTTCCAAACAACTGCAGAATAAACATTATTTTCATCAGCACATGGAACATTTTCCAAGATAGATCATATAATAAGCCAATGAGTCTCATCTGAATAAATTTAAGAAAATTGAAATTATATCAAGTATCTTCTCAGACTGTGATGTTACAGTTGGTAGTTACTCAGGCATGGGCAGGGAAGGAGAGGGTCCCATCCCCAACAGGAATGTTACATGACCCTCAGGTGATGGTCATGGGGTTGTTAAGCTGTCTCTCTAAAATAACAATTGGTTGCAGCCAAGGCCAGAAAAAAGTAGTCTCCCAATAGACAGAAAACTTGAAACTGATGAGCAGCAGCTTCCCAATAAGATCAGAGTTGGGTGAGTGGGCTCAAGCATGCAAAGTAAGAGCCAAATTGGTGGAGTTTAACTGGTATATGACCTCTTTAAGGAACCCTTGACTGGTAAGGGAAGAACACTTTGAGTGAGAATGCATAGAACTTCAGTAAACACATTCTGCATGCAGCCCCTCCCAAAGTGTTAACAGGCCACTGCACATGTGAACAGCCCAACCTAAGGGAAGAATCAGGAGAGAAAGGATGCTAGACCCCAGAATCATGACAGTGTATAAAACCCCAAGTCAAAGGTCAAACTGTGCACTTGAATCCCTCAAGTCGCCTGCTTGGCCCTCTTCCATATGTACTTTATTTCTTTTTGTTCCTGATCTAAAGCTTTCAAATAAACTTTCATTCCTGCTCTAAAACCTGCTTCTGTCTCTCCCTCTGCCTTATAGCCCTCAGTCAAATACTATCTTCTGAGGAGGGAAGAATCAAGGTTATGTAGACCCATACAGAATTGCCACTGCTAACACACTTTCATACTGCATGACTTGGATACACTCCCTATTGCTAACAAGACCACAGTGGAATTAAAATTGAAAATGAACTCCCAAAGGAAGCCTCAAAACTATGCAAATACATGAAAATTAAATAATCTGCTTTTGAATGATTCTTGGGTTAACAATGAAATCAAGATGGAAATTTTAAAAACTTTTGAAATGAATGAAAATAGTGACAAAACATATTAAACCTCTGGGATACAGCAAAAGTGGTGGTAAGAGGAAAGTTCATAGAGTTAAATGCCTACATCAAAACATCTAAAAGAGTGCAAACAGACAGCCTAAATTCACACCTCAAGGAACTGAAGAAATAAGAACACACTAAAGCCAAAGCAGGCAGAAGAATAGAAATAACAAAAATCAGAACAGAATTAAATTAAATTGAAACAAAAAAGTGTAAAAGATAAATGAAACAAAAAGCTGGTTCTTTGAAAAGATAAGCAAAATTTATAGACTATTAATGAGATTTACCAAGAAAAAGAGAAAAATCAAATAAGCTCTATTAGAAATGAAATTGGGACCCCCACATTGACCAGAATCCGTGGACGTGGTGAACCAGGTTATCAAGTACAAGCCTGCAGTTGCCTGGCAGACTGGAAAGCCTCTCTCCATAGAGGAGATAGAGGTGGCACCCCCAAAGGCTAATGAAGTTCGAATCACAATCATTGCCACTGTGGTTTGCCACACCGACACCTATACCCTGAGTGGAGCTGATCCTAAGGGTTGTTTTCCAGTGATCTTGGGACATGAAGTTGCTTGGAATTGTGGAAAGCGTTGGCGAGGAAGTTACTAAGCTGAAGGTGAGTGACACTGTCATTCCACTTTACATCCCACAGTGTGGAGAATGCAAATTTGGTCTAAATCCTAAAACTAACCTTTGCCAGAAGATAAGAGTCACGAAGTTTATTTTCTAATATCCATGGGTTGGTAAAGATTACTATCCTTTAATTGTATGAAAATCCAAACTGCTAGGTATTTTGTTAATATGTGTATCTCATATGTAGGCATTGTATTTTTGTTTCTAATTTTAAATTGAAATTGAGTAGACACACTTATAAGTGGGAGCTGACTGATGAGAACACATGGATATATGAGGGGAGGGGAAAAACACACACTGGGTAACTGCAGGAGACTGGGGGAGGGAGAACATCAGGAAGAATAGCTAATTGGTGCTGGGCTTAATACTTGGGTGATGGGATGATCTGTGCAGTAAACCACTGTGACATACATTTACCTATGTAGGAAACCCGCACGTCCTGCACTTGTACACCTGAACTTAAAAGTTGAAAATAAAGAAAAATAAATAAATTGAGTAGACAATTGAATTTATACACTTTGTAAAACCTATACATATTCCAGGGTGCAGATTGCTAGTCTTTTGATATCATCATTAAGCTAATTCATTGACAATAAGTGAATATTAAATAAATAAGGCAACTAGTGGCTGGGCGTGATGGCTTATGCCTGTAATCCCAGTACTTTGGGAGGCCGAGGAGGGTGGATCACGGGGTCAAGAGTTCGAGACCAGCCTGACCAACATGGTGAAACCCCATCTCTACTAAAAATACAAAAATTAACTGGGCGTGGTGGCGTGTGCCTGTAATCCCAGCTATGCTGGAGGCTGAGGCAGGAGAATCTCTTGAAACCAGGAGGCAGAGGTTGCAGTGAGCCGAGATCGGGCCACTGCACTCCAGACTGGGCGACACAGCGAGACTCCATCTCAAATAAATAAATAAACAAACAAATAAATAAAGCAACTAAAAGAATATCTACAGGGGATGATATTTAGAGTTTACATTT
Source organism: Homo sapiens (assembly GCF_000001405.40). NCBI lineage: Eukaryota > Metazoa > Chordata > Mammalia > Primates > Hominidae > Homo > Homo sapiens. The sequence goes on from NC_000005.10 coordinate 23,981,842, forward strand.
TAACAAGTCTTATTACAGCAGTAAAAAATGCAAACATAATAAGCCTAGTAAATTAGTAATTTAAAAAGTTAAAAGAAATGAATGGATTCAAAGCATATTATAGACATGACATGTTATTTTCAGACCATTAAACATGACCATGATGAACAATTGCAGGTGCTTGAAATTTCCACAATTTCATAAAACATTAATTAAACACTAAATGTCAGAAGAAAATCACTAATAGTGCTTCTCAAAGAAAGGTGCATGACCGCCTGTATCTGAATCTCTTACCTGCTTGAGACTGCTAAAATCATTAATTCATGTCCGTTATAAGAGGTTTATGAATTGCACTACTAAGTACAGGTTTCTGGGATCCCAACTATATACAAAATATCCCACGTGATCCTATGCACATTACTATTTGAGTTGCACTGCATTAGGGAAGAAAGGCAAAAAGTTTTCATATTCATTGTAATGTTTAATTTTGTGTGTCAACTCAGCTGGACCACAGTGCCCAGATATGTGGTCAAATACTTTCTAGATGTTTATTTGAGGATGTTTTGGGCTGAAATTTAAATTTAAATTAGTGTATTTTGAGTAAATAAGATCACTTTTTAGACTGTAAGTCAGCATTATCCCACGATACAAGATCTGAACATAACTCTGCCAACAGATGATCTTGGGGCTTGAACTGCAACATGAAGTTTTCTGGGTCTCCAGCCTGCCAGCCCACTCTGCAGATTTAGAACTTTCCAGCCTCCATAATCACCTGATTCTTTAAAATAAATCTACTCACACACATACATACACGCGCGCACACACACACACACACACACACACACACACACACAGCCCATTGGTTCAGTTTCTCTGAAAAAGCCTGATTTAATACCTCTGCAATGCACTAATTAACCATCATACATTATATTTACCTCACATTAACTTACATTCTTTACAAAACAACCCAAAAGGCCCAGAACCCACTACTGTCCTCAGCGCTGAGCGGAAAAGGAATGCAGAGCTGCCTCAACAATAATTCACAGACCTCAGGGAAACCTTCTAGATCCTAATCCCTAATATTGATTCCTCTTAGCCTTGTTCTATTCTCCCTATAAAAGAAAAGCCTTTTCCCGCTTGTTCCTTAAGAAGTTTGCAAATCTTTTGTTTATAGAATTTTTATTGCAAAATATTTTCAGTAATTTTTATATTAATTCCAAGTAAGTTTTTAGTTGACAATTTCCTGGTGCTGCAATTAGGATCAACATTGAGTCTCAACTATGAAACCTTGTCATTCTTGACCAGGTAATGGAAACTTGCAAATCCTTTGAACTCCTTTTATCTTAATTGATACAGTGAATTTTTGGTGAGTTCAACACTCAATCCAGCCTACAGATGTCTTGTCTCTTGAAACACAGTAAGAATTTACTTTAACTCCTGTAGGCAAAGAGACTTCTCTTTGGCCTTTCTGTGCAGCCTCTTCTGGTTTTCTTCAAATTTCCAGGCTGGAATTTCATGGGACTGTTTCTCTGGCTTATTGGACATAGGATTGTGCAAGGAAATGAACTGAGAGGGAATCTTTCCTAGTTCTTCGAAGTCTTATCTCTGTTTAATAATCAAATCCTGTGCATAGCTCACTGTACGGGTACCCTTTATTCTCTTCTCCCACTGACTATATACTCTGTAATTATTGCACTACCTCTGTTAAATATCTCCAATGACACATATTTCTAAGAATAATGTAGAACTGAAGTGGCCTTTTTGAGGTTCTTGTGCTCTCCTCTATAATCAATGGTCTGCTTATTAATCAGTAGTCTGCTTATTTGTTATGGAATGTGTAAACCAAAAGGTTTCTCAGTGTAAGTTTAATTAGGACATTCAGCAAACTTGATCTACTTAATCTGAGCCTATTTAATCTCTCAATAATATTCTGTCTCCCTCAAATATGTATTTTGTTATTTTCTAATTTCACAAATAATATTATATGTATTTATCATATAATGTTATGCTCTGATATATATATATGTTCTAAGATATATATATATATATATGTTTGTGTGTATGTATATAGAGAGAGTAAAATGGTTAAATCTAGCTAATGAACAAATGCATTACCTAACACAGTTATTTTTGTGGTGAGAGCATTCAACATCTACTTTTTTCCTTTTTTAAAAGTACGGTATAGTCTGCTGTACAATAAGCCTCTTGAATTTGTTTCTCCTGCTTATCTCTACTTGCGTATTACTTAAGTAGACTTATGTGTACTTACTACTCATATTTATTTCTCACTTACTCCACCCTCAAAGGCATTCCCAGCCTTTCTCTTTTCTCTCTCTTTTCCTCTCAGGTCCTTCAAATCCATTCCAAGTTCTTCACATTACCTTAACTTCCCTACAATGTCCTACATACTGGGTCAATCTTAGGTATTGTAAGGGAAAGAAACATTGGGGCTAATGCCTATGCAAAAAGAAAGAGAATTTATCAAACTCAAAAGTCTCAGTGATATCTCTGAAGGATATGGTCCTATGTGCCCCTCAAAAACCCTTAAACTAACTGGATGAAATCATAATCTCAGTCAATGAGCACCCCTGCACCTTTTTGACAGACACTAAAGCCATTTGTGCTACTTTAAGACCTTATATGATCTCACCATAATCCCTGAGAATATATCAACGATCTCACCGGTGGGATGGGAAAACTTACCATATAACTTTCCCCTTTCTCAACCACTTTCTGTATCTCCTTCACCCCATAATGCCCAACGTGGTTATCGTCTACTAGTCGATTAGACAGATATTAACTTTCTTATTGGCATGTAAATATTTGGTGTTCACCCCAAAGGACTAACCCTTGAAGTCCTGGACTCCTCCCCAATCACTGTTGTTCTCTAACAACTTTGATAGATCAACCCAAATTGCTTACCCCTCTCCCAGCTCCCAAAACTCTTAACCATCCTCACGTTCAGACATACTAACTGACTTTCCTGAGCCTCTCTGAGCTGTGGATGTATTGCAAAGCATAATTGTTGAAAAGGATATAGTCCCCCAACATAGCCCTCCCTAAGCCACCCCAGTATCTTTCAAGAACTGAAGGAATTGAAAGTCTCAGACCTATCTTTCAAGGGCTTATGTCAAAGGACACTTTTTTTGTAATTGTCTGGCAATACCCCAATTCTTCCAGTAAAAAAGCCTCATTATCTTTTATTAAGTCTGGATTTGTTTTTATTTGTCAAAGAAAAGTAAGTCACATGAGCCCTATGTTTGCCCAGGTTTCCAATCAGAGACACTTCCCAGACACTATCCCAGAGAAGAAAATCTCACTGAATTGAGGTGGTAGAGATCAGATATTTGGAATTCTATGGCAGGTGGAATTTGAGGGGCAGAGTAACAGAACTGAGAGATTTAAACAGATAAAGATCCCAGAAATCTGCATACAAATGCTGTAGAATATTTGGCTAAATATTAAGCTGAGTATGCTTAAAGTTCCATAATGCCAATGGAAGAATGACTCATAGGGAGCTTTAGGAAGAATAAAATTGGACTTTTTATAGAATTCCGAGATTTTGAATAACCAGAGAGGACAAAATTTAATGAACACCTGTAGTATTAAGTATTGAGCCCCCAAAGACTACATACTTCAGGAGTAGTGCTAAATAAAACCCACAAAAAACTGCTAGATTACCTATATAACCATAAAAACAATAATAAGAAAATTCAATAATATACAAAGTAAATTAAATGTCAATTGGTGAAAGGGTACAAAGTTTCAGTTAGATAGGTGGAACAAGTTCTGTTGATCTATTGCACAGCACAGTGACTATAGTTAATAATAATATATTGTATATTTCAAAATAGCTAAAAGAGGTGATTTAAGTATTCTCATGACAAGAAAATGATTAGTATTTGAGGAGATAGATATATTAATTAGCCTAATTTCATCATTCCACAATGTAGGCATGAATCAAAACATCACACTGTACCCTGTAAATATATATAATTATTTTATCTGTAAATTAAAAATAAAATAAAATAAAATAAAACTTTAAACAAATTTTGTTTGCAAGGAAAAAATCAACACCATTTAAAGCAGGAAAATAAAATCCAAACCTGAGTTTGTCCTCATAAAATAAACTGGTAAGTATTCCCTCATCTTATATATGTTTAATATTTCTGAGGAGTTGCAGTTAATTCTTTAAAGGTGGAGTGGTATTCACTAGTGAATCCATTTTGATCTGAACTTTGTAGAAAATTTTCATTAATTCTTTAATCTCTTTATGATACTTATATGCAGATTTTCTATTTCTTCTTGAGTCAGTTTCCGTAGTTTGTGTTTTTCTAGGAATTTGTCCATTATCTGATGTATTAGCATATAATCATTCATAGTATTCCCTTATAATCCTTTTTGATGTCTGTAATTAGCAGTTATGCCCCTTCCTTCATTCTTGATTTTAATAATTTGAGCCTTCTTTCTTTTTTATAATCTGCTTAACTAAAAGTTTGTCAATTTTGTTACTCTTTCCAAAGAACCAACTTTTAGTTTCATTAATTTTTCTTTATTTTTTTATTCTCAATTTTATTTATTTATGATCTTACGTTTATCGCTTCCTTTGGTTTACATCCTCTTTTTTTTTTAATTCTGTAGGCAGTAAATAATTAGGTCATGTTTGTTGATCTGGTCTAACAATCTCTGCCTTTTGGCTAGATTTTTAATTCTTTCATATTCAATGTTATTATAGACATACAGGATTATATTTGCCATTTTACTTCTTGTTTTCTTAGTGTTTTGTGTTCTGTTTGTTTCTTTTTTTATTATTATTACCTTATTTGGGGTTAAATATATAATTTTTGTACATAAAATTTCAATTTGTCCCTGCTTTTATTATATTTTTAAGTTTTTTTTTTCTTTTGTGGTTGCCCTGGGGAATGCAATTAACATCTCAGTCTATAATAAACGAGTCCATATGAAGAGCAACTTAATTTTAATAGGATACAAATCCTTTGCTCCTATATATCTCAATTCCTTTTGCCCTCCTTTATGGTATTATTGGTATATTAATTTCATGTTTATACATTATGTGCCTATCAATGTTAATTCATAGTTTTGGCTTTGTTGGTTTAATTTTTAATCAGATAGGAAAAACAAATTAAAAAAATACATTTATCTCCCTTTTATATTTACTGGTGTGGTTATCTTTACCAGCATACTTCATTCTTTCATACAATTCAACTGTCAAGTATCCTTTTGTTTTATTGGTATTTCTTAATAAGGCCAGTGCTAATGACAAATTCTCTCAGTTTTGTTATCTGAGAATTTGTTAGTTTTTCCTTTATTATTTTAAAGGTAGTGTTGCTAAATATGGAATTTGAAGTTAATATTATTCTATCAGGATTTTGAATATGTGAACCTACTGTGTCGTGGTGTTTGTGGTTTCTGATGAAAAAATAGCTGATATTTTACTGAGGCTCTTTCCTAGTAATGATTTACTTCTCACTTGCTCATTTTAAGTTTCCGTTTTTGCTTTGTGGCTCGGAATTGTTTCAATATGATGTGTCTCATTTTTATTCTCTTTGACTTTATTTTACTTGGAATTTGTTGAACTTTTTAGATGGGTAGATTTATATATTTTATTCGAATTTGAGATGTTTTAAATTATTATTTCTTCATATTTTTTCCTGCCTCTCTCTGTTTCTTCTCTCCTCCTGGGACACTCATTATGTGTATGTTGGTACTCTTGATAGTGCTCCACGAGTATCTGAGGCTCTGTTTGTTTTTCTTCATTATTTTTGCTTTTTGTTCCTCAGACTGGATAATCTCAATTGCACTGTCTTCAAGTTCACTGATTGTTTCTCCAACCAATCACATTTGCTGCTACTGATCAATCCCTGCGTCAATTTTTTATTTATTATTATTATTTGGAACTTTAACTCCAACATTTTTCTTTGGATTTTCAAAAAACAATGTCTCTATACTTCGATATATTCTATCTAGTGAGTATTATGAGGTGATTTTTTTCCCACCAAAATTCTAATTTGAAATCCTAACCCCCCAGTATGTGACTATATTTGGAAATAAGGCCTTTAATGGAGGTAAATAAGTTAAAATGAAGCCATCAGGGTCAAGGCATGACAACCACTCCTTGACCTGAGAACCTCTTGGTAAGCTAGATAGAATAAAGTCCTTCTCAGTCATTTCTGGCTACCCACATGATTTTTTAGGTCCCTAATCAAATCTGTCTGATGATTTTATAAGAAAGAGTGGATTTGCGCACACAAAGGAGGTACACAGGTCGAGGAAAGATTGTGTGACAATATAGTGAGAAGGTGGAGAAGGAACCAAGGAGAGAGGCCTTAGACAAATTTAAATTTGCCCACACATTGGTCTTAGGCTTCTAGCCTCCAGAATCATGAGAAAAGACATTTCTCTTTTTTAAGACACTCACTCTGTGGTATTGTGTTACGGTAGCCCTAGCAAACAAATACACTGAGACACTCTTTTCAAATTTTCTTTTAGTTCTTTAGATGTGATGTATTTCTTCTTTTTCTTTTATTCTTTCTTTCTTTCTTTCTTTCTTTCTTTCTTTCTTTCTTTCTTTCTTTCTTTCTTTCTTTCTTTCTTTCTTTCCTTTTCCTTTTCTGAGATAGGGTCTTACACTGTCAGGCTGGAGTGCAGTGACACAATCATGGTTCACTGCAGCCTTGATCTCCCCAGGTTCAGGTGATCCTCCCACCTCAGCCTCCTGAGTAGCTGGGACTACAGACACATACCACCACACCCTGCTACGTTTTGCATATTTTTGGAGAGATGTGGTTTCACCATGTTGCCCAAGCTGATCTTGAACTCCTGGGCTCAAGCAACCTGCCAGTCTCAGTCTTGTGGAAGTACCGGAATTACAGGTATGAGCCACCACACCTTCATTGAACACACTTAAAATATCTGATGTATTATTTTTCAGGTTTTTCTCTGGAACATTTCTATTGATTGCATTGTTACCTATGTATGCATCATACTTTGTTTTTTTCTGTATGTCACATGTACTTTTGTTGAAAGCCTGACCTTTAGGATAGTACAATGTGGCAACTCTCAGTATCAGATTCTCTCCTCTGTCTAGGATTTGTTGCTGTTTGTATGTGTTGGTTTTTTTGTAATATTTTTTCTTTTTTTAACATCTAAGTTAAGGGGTACATATGCAGGTTTGTTTCAATGGAAAACTTGTGTCATGGGGGTTTGTTGTACAGATTATTTCATCACCCAAGTATTAAACCTAGCATCAAATTAGGTATTTTTCCTAATCCCTCCCTCCTCCCACCCTCCACCCTTTAATAGGCCAGATGTGTGTTGTTCTCTTTGTATCCATGTGTTCTCATCATTTAGCTCCCATGTATAGATGAGAACATGTGGTATTTCTTTTTCTGTTCTTGCATTAGTTTGCTAAGAATAATGATCTCCAGCTCCATCCATGTTCAGGCAAAGGGCATAATCTCATTCTTTTTATGGCTGCATAGTATTACATGGTGTACATATACCACATTTTCTTTATCCAGTCTATCACCAATGAACATTTAGGTTGATATCATGTTTTTGCTTTTGTGAATAGTGCTGCAATGAATATATGCATGTGCATGTCTTTATAATAGAACTATTTATATTCCTTTGGGTATATACCCAGTAATGGGATTGCTGGGTCAAATGGTATTTCTTAGTGACTCTCCTTAACTAATTATGTGAAGTCTCCATATTTTGTATGTGGCCACTGACATTGCTGGAACCTGTAAATGTCATCTTATAAGGAAAGAGGTGTATACAGATGTGATTAACTTAAGGAGTTTACCATGGGATGATTATTCTGGATTATGTGGGTGGGCCATAGATCCAATCAGAGGTGTTCTTATAAGAAAAAGGCAGAGGAAGTTTATATACCCATATTAGAAGAAAGTGATGTGAAGACAGATGCAGAGATTGGAATGATGTAGCCACAGCCCAGGAATTCTAGAAGCTAGGTTTCCAGATGCTAGGGTTCTCCTCTGCATTTTCTAGAGGAAGCATGGCCCTACAAACTCTTTGATTTAAGCTTAGTATAATTAATTCTGAATTCTTTGCTTTCAGAAATGTGAGAGAATACATTTCTGTTGGTTTAAGCTATGTTGTGCTTTTACAAGTTTTTGGTGATTTGTAATTTAAGCCATAGGAAATGAACACAGCATGTCTGTGGCCTACTGGATTCCCAGGAATACTTAGGAATGTATAAAATCCTCTATGAACATTCATACTCCAGATTTTGCTTTGCAGTTTTCTCTTAGCCTAGTGTTTGCCCAAACTGTTATTCACTTCTTCAGACAGCCATAATGCTAAACAATTTTCTGTAATTGTTTTTGACAAATAACCTAGAGGAAAAGGCTTTCATACTGGTGAGCTTCAAGTCAGTTTGTTTAAAGACAGACTTACCATTAGTGTCTTCTGGGAAACCACCAGCCAAGTCAATGACAGTGCTCTGGAAACATTCTTTGAAGGAGCTCCTGTTTTTCTCTTTGGTGGCTGCCACTGTGGGTTTTCACTGGGATTGTAGGCTGCTGGTTTTTATTGGTACTGCAGAGATGGGGATGGAGGAGACGTTAAAACACCACATAGTTTTCCATTCTTGCTGAGTTTCAGCCAGTTTTCTTGCATACATTCTCTCTGTATTGCTGCAAGACTTAGATTTATTTCTAGAGTTTGAAAAAGTTGGTGCTGAAAATTTTGTTAGGGTTCTTATTGCTTTTATATAGAAAAAAATTTTCAGAGATTCTTACTTTCTGAATATATGAGGTTATCAATTTTGTTATGACCTCATATATTTTTATTCGTCAATTATTAGCAGCAAATCTATAAGGTGATTTTAGGCATTTATTAAACTCAAATAATTATTCATTTATCTCTCTAAAGTTTTAAGTAAATACTATGACTTTCAACATTTCTAAAAATATGTATCAATACTGTGAACAACACTGATATTTAACAAGCTCCCCAAGTAATAATGTCTTAATAATTACTGTATCACTGTATTGAATATTTGGGACCCTGTTGTTCACTGGTAAAGTGATTTTTATCTTTCTTCAACCACACTTTTTTTTACATCCTCTGTGGATTAGTTCCTACTTTGTCACAATGCAATCTGATAGGTCATATTTAGCCTCACAAATAGCAATTAATACGTGAGGTTAGAAAGTAATTTTTAAAAACCTCAGGTCTGTATAATTAGATCTCTTCTCTCTAACGTTGTATTGCTCCAGTCTTATAAAATTTTCAAAGTAGAATAGAGGTGGCACGGTGTTCTTGTTTGTTTGTTTTTCTTGTTTGTCAGCTTCTTCCATGTAATATATGGTGGTTCCTCATCTCTCCAGTGATGTTGCCTCACATGAGGGGAATGACAAAAAAAAAAAGACTATTTTATTAGGCTGATGCTGTCAGAGTTTGTTGTTGTTGTTGCTGTTGTTGTTTTCTTCTGGAATTTGATGTACATTTAAACAGACACATACTCCTTTGAGGAGTGTTTTGTGTTTATTTCTTTTTAGTAACAACCATCACCAGTTCCTGAATTTCCATTGACTAAACCCTCTGTCAGATCATTCCATCTTCTCTTCACTTAAGTCCTTTTTGAGATGGAATCCAAACCAGGTTACTTCTACACCTGTCCCATGGAAGATGTACACTATCATCTTGTAGTCCATAGTAGCAACACAACTCACTCTTCCTTTCTCTCTGGTTTGTCATCTCAGATCAATCCAGATACAGCTTGGTATCGTTCTGAGTACTAGTCAAACTCCAGAAACAGGACTCACGCAGTAGTTGGTTTCTGTGAAGCCTCTTTCACTTTGTTGATGAAAGGGAAACATAATTTTTTTTTTTTTTTTTGAGACAGGGTTTCACTTTTGTTGTCCAGGCTGTAGTGCAATGGCACAAACTTGGCTCATCACAACCTCCACCTCCCAGGTTCAAGCAATTCTCCTGCCTCAGCCTTCTGAGTAGCTGGGGTAACAGGCCTGCACCACCACGCCTGGCTAATTTTGTACTTTTAGTAGAGACAGGGTTTCTCCGTGTTGGTCAGGCGGATCTTGAACTCCTGACCTCAGGTGATCCGCCTGCCTCAGCCTCCCAGATTTCAGGGATTACAGTCATGAGCCACCGCACTCAGCCGGGAAACATACTACTTCTAATCACTAATTGCAAGGAATCTAATACTTTGCCCCAGGAAGGTCCTCTCCTAGTTGGTTTCTATAAACTTTTTATAAGATAGATTGGAGAGATCAGGAATTCCAGTCTTATAATCTCTTAATACATTCTGCACAGATGGTTTAAAAACGTACTTTAGAATGTGTGCGTTGTTGCTACCTGTCATCATTTTACTTACAGAAAGACCTTAGCTCAAAGAGCTTTTATTACAAATGAAAGAAAGATAATGTGATTGGCGTAACAATTTTAAGGAGCAACACTGAATTTAAGAAGATAATTAAGTAACATTTTTGCTAGTTCAATAGGTAAATAACTTTGAAACCATGTAAATATTATTGACTAAATTGTAATTTACATATGATATCTTGAATATACTTTTTTAGACTTGGAATACTAAAAAAATTTGCTATGAACAAGCTCGCTCTGAAACTTTACTTGAAACTTCTCAAAATAAGAGAAAATATCTCGGATGTGTAATAAGGAAAAAAGGATATGATTTATTCAAATATATTGTAAATTTTTAATGATGTTTTTAAGTAACCAGAATGTAAAATACCAGATAATAAGATATCAGATGGTGAATTGTAGAAGGTGTTTGGAACACAAGAAATAAAAGAATGCTAAGATTCTTGTCTTATGATTAATTAGTTCCACATATTCATTATGATATATTCATATTTCTGTGACATTTAGTGATAACCATTAGAAAAAAAGACATAAAATTCATAGTTTTAAACAACCAACATGAATAAAATGACAACGTTACTCAAGAGAATAGGAGTTAAGAAATTCCTACATTGCCATACAATTTGATTAAGGAAGAAGTAGGAAATGTTTACAGATCAATAAAAACAAAATTATCAAATTGCTCCTGACATATTCATGATAGATGTCTTAGTCAGTCTGAGCTTCCATAACGATGTATCAGGTAATAAAAGATGAAATAATAAAAAACAATTTTTAGATCTAATAACAATAGCAGACAATCATAAGAATAGTCAAATAAAAACAAATCCAGACATAGATAAGGAAAGACTTTATTTTAAAAAGCTGTTGTAATAGGAATAACTGGACAACCTCAGGATTGCAGGTGTCTCAAAACTAAACAGGGAAAAGGCTTTTTTACTATAGCCCGGGTAAGTAGAACTAGCAGGAACTTTGTGGAGAGCATGATAAGCCAGCAAAGCTATCAAGTGGAAAATCAAGGTGCTTCAATAAGAAATGCTTCTTTCTATGGTCAGTAGATGATTGGAATGAGCTGTGAAGGGAGATATTAATGCTTAGTGCTTGCTTAATATTAGGGTAAGCCAAAGTTTAGGAGCCTTTGAGAAGAGAAGCCTGATTCAGGTTTAGTCAGGCCAACTCCATGGATAACTAATGAGCATTAAAAACATTTTTATCAGGTACTTTATAGGTACCAGGTACTGTCTTATTTTCTTAACAAATGTTAATGTATTTAATCAATGAAGCTGAAATTTTGCAGGGAAAAAAATAGGTGAATTTCATACAGGTTCAGAAAACTACTCAATAAAAAAAACAATATGTCAAAAACAGGTCTTGGGCCACACTTTACATCAGAAAAGAATAGAGACTGGGGATACGACATAAGACTGCTAGACGAGAACTGGAAATAATTGTTGAACATCACAATTGATTACTTTGTGTATATATTCAATATAAATACTTGAACATATTAATACTACAGGGAAAGCAAACATTGATTAATCCAACCATAGAAAGACATTTATATGGGCCAGGCGCGGTGGCTCACGCCTGTAATCCCAGCACTTTGGGAGGCCGAGGCGGGCAGATCACAAGGTCAGGAGATCAAGACCATCCTGGCTAACATGGTGAAACCCCGTCTCTACTAAAAATACAAAAAATTAGCCGGGCATGGTGGCGGGCGCCTGTGGTCCCAGCTGCTCCGGAGGCTGAGGCAGGAGAATGGCGTGAACCCAGGAGGCTGAGCTTGCAGTGAGCCCAGATCGTGCCAGTGCACTCCAGCCTGGGCGAGAGTGCGAGACTCTGCCTCAAAAAAAAAAAAAAAAAAAAGACATTTATACAATAAAGACTATTTTGACATAGGCCAATATGGATTAAATTATAATTTAATCATTCTCCTTTATTTTTCTATGTTGTTTTTATAACTTAGATTTATAAAAGTGGGTGTTCTCTATTGAAAAATAAAAAGACACACATATACTATGGAAATATAATATATGAAGTATTAAGACATACAGACAAGCAAACTTTGCCTGAAATGTGTGACTAGATGATAAAAAGGGGAAAAATAAAGTGTGATATCTTTTATGCTTTTCTGTTTGAAAAAATTACAACTTAAAAGCACTGTATAGAACATTAAAGTGTACTTTATACATGCATAGACTAATATCAAAATAACACACCCACCACACATATATATATATATGTGTGTGCGTGCATATATATATATATATATATATATACACACACACACACAGGTTTGTCGAGTGAAGCAGTGGAAGTGGAGAAGGAACAAATAAATCTGTAACTGATTATGATCAATTAGCTGTAAACACCACTACACTTGGAGTGGCCTAAAGTCACATTTTATTAAAATAGAAAAAAAAACCCTCATCAGAACAAAGAAAGCAAAAGGTAATTATTGAGAATATAAAATACACATGGGTGTTTTCTCAATTTTGGTTACTCCTGTTCCACCATCTACTGGTAGCTTTTGAGAATGCTTTTTGTCTCCCTCAAAACCAATTCACTTTTTCTAAAATATGTTAACAAACCTGTTTATTGACAGAAGTTGTTTCTTCAAAGTTTCCTCTTTACTCGCTTAATAATTAACTCCAGAATAAATCTATAAAGGTATGTTTGTCCTTCAAATACTACCTTCTTTGGCAATTGCAATATGCATTAAACCGGTCAGAGTGTTCCAGTTTCTCTAAGTTTAAATACCACACAGGTAAAATTAATGCTAATTGATAATTTAAATGAATTGATTTAAAATCATTTTTTATGAAATATCTTTTATGAATTTATATAGTACCAAAGATATTATAGTTAAGTTTATTTAACTTTGTTTCTCTTTCTCCCTGTGTTTCTGTTGATCGCTCTCTCTCTCTCTCTCTCTCTGTGTGTGTGTGTGTGTGTGTGTGTGTGTGTGTATCTCTTTTTCTCAATATTTGAATCAAGGTTAGGTAGATATGTGGGATAATGGAAACCATATTTTGTTGGTTGTTGTATTAGTCTGCTTGGGCTGCCCTAATAACACAGATTGGGTGGCTTAAACAACAGACGTTTATTTTCTCCTAGTTCTGGAGACTGAAAATCCAAGATTAAGATGCTAGAAGATATAGGTACTGATGCAGACTGTCTTCCTGGTGGGCAGTCAGCAACCTTTCGCTATGCTTTCACAAGTCTTTCCTCTCCTCATGGAAGAGAGGCACAGAAAGAACTGGGGTGTTTGTTCTTCTTATAAAGACATCAGTTGTATTGAACTAAAACCCCACTCTTATGACCTCATTTAACCCTGATTACCTACATAAAGGGCCTATCACCAAATACAGAAATTTGGGAATTTTATTGTCCCCAAATTCCTGGGTTTTAGCTTCAACACAGGAATTTGTGGGAATACAATTCACTCCATTATAGTAGGTGTAAATTGATGCAACTTTTATAACAAGCTGTCTTGTAATACATAACATTTGCTTGGAAGCCTTTATCTCCTTATCCAGTCATTTACTTCTGGGAATTTATTTTAATAAAGTATATGAAACACTGAATAGGGTTTGCTCACAAATATGTTCACCACAGTCATAGAAAATTATAATACTGTACAACATTCTGGAGTAAATAGGACTTTATGAACAAGAAGCTCTCAGTGCCCACAGCCCACCCAGGAGACCACACGCTTACTGAGGGCATCTGTGTCTTGCTGTACCTGGAACCCATTTGTGAAAACCAGTGATCCTGGTTGTACTAAAAGGATCTGATATAAAGACAGAATATCCGAGTAGTTAGTGGAGAGAACCTGATGTATTGGATTATTATTTCCTCTTCTTGTGAAGAAACAAGTGATAAGAGAGATTCCTGGAAGATGAAAAAGGTGCTGGCATGTATATTTATACCCATCCATTTTTTTTGCCCATATATTCTTTAATATATTTTAAATTCTTTAAAATAATGTTTGGTAAAGCTTATCATGATAGAGAAATAATATGTACTCTAATGTTAATTTTTATTTTTTTTATTCTGTAAAGTTAGCATCAATATAAATATAACAGTAACAAAACATGCTACCACATTATTTGCTCCTGGGGAGTAAGAATATAGGTAATTTTGTTTATATTACATATTTTACCTTGTTTTTACCAAAATAAACAGGATTTATTTAATGCTATAAAATCCTAAATTAAATATGTGTGATATGTTCACACTATGTTTGGTATGGATGGAATCCTGTTCTCCCACAACTCACTTATTGAAGCCTTAACCTCTCATGTGAGTGTATTGGAGATAGAGCCTTTAAAGACGTGATTAAGGTTAAATGAAGTCTTAAGAATGGATGTCTGATAAGATCGAACTGATTACCTTTGCAGAAGAGAAAGAGATTCCAGAGTTCTCTTTCTACTGGTGAGGACATGGTGAAAAGTCTGCAGCCAGGAAAAGACTCCTCACCACAACCCAACTGGGCTGGCACCCTTATCTTGGACTTCTAATCTCCAGGACTCAGAGAAAACACACTTCTATTGTTTAACACATCCGGTCTCTTGTATTTTGTTGTGCTGGCCTGAGCCAGCTAACACAACCTTATCACTTCGTAAGAAGCTCATGCCTGTTTATAATACATGCACACACACACACTCACACATAAATTTGTATATAATTAAAAATATCGGTATTCTAAGAGGCATCTTATTCATAAGAATATATAATTTTCCAAGTCCTAGAACTTGTGAGAAGCTTTAAAATATCACTAATTGGCTTACTTTTTTGAAATACTTTAATGGTAATTTGCGGTAATTACTCCTGCTTTATCTGAAGTTCACACAAAAGGTTATGCTTTTGTGACACTGACACATTGTCACAGCTCTGCGTTTTCCTGACATGGCTCTAAAATTACTTTGCCTCCTGAACTACATGACTTCCACTTCTGAGGCTCACATTTCCAGGCTTGGGCTGGACCTCAGAAATAGCCCACTGATAACTCTGTGATCTACCTAATTCTGAACCTGGGAGGAATGGGAATGGAGTCTCCATGAAGTCATCCTGGCTGTTGCTCCCATTTTTACTGTTAGAGTAAGTAGTTAGGCAGACATGAGCAGGGCAGAAGAGGCCCTGCAGCCATGCTCCCACCAACCAGGAATGTCAGGTGACCATCAGGTGATGGTCAGGTAGTTGTTAAACTGTCTCTCTAAAATAATAATGGGTTGCAGCCAGCCAGGGAAAGGCACTCTTCCAGCAGGTAGAAAACACCTGAAACGTGATCAGTAGCTTCCAGATAAGATCTCAGGAGTTAGGTGAATGGGCTTAAGCATGAGCACTAGAGGCAAAATGGTGGAGTTTAATAGGTCTACGACCTTCCTCCAGGAACGCTTGACTAGTCAAGGAAAAATGCCTCAAATGAGGACATGCACAACTTCAGTAAACACACTGCACGTGCGCCCCTCCCAAGTGCTGCTGGGCCACTGAGCATGCAGACAGCCCACCCCAAAGGAAGAATCAAGAGAGGAGAGATGCAAACCCCGGAAGCAAGCCAAAGTATAAAAACCCCAAATCAAGGGTTGAAAGGGAAAGAATCAAGTTTGCTGAAGACCTGTTGGATTTGCTGCTGCTAACATTACCTCTCAACCACTATCTTGGTGGCTGAGCTCTTCGTCTGGTTATGTGAGTTTTTAATTTATTTGGTAATTAAGTTTTGTTTCTGAATCCTTATAATCCCATGTTTGTATTCTATCATAGCTGCCTAGTCTTTTTCTGATTTAATCGTAAGCACATGACACCAAAAATTTGAAATGCCCTCATTCTTCTTAGCATTATTATACCACCTTTCTACTTAGACCAAACCATCTTCCTGTTGACGTACTATATATATATATGTATATATATATATACATACATATATATACATATATACATATATACATATATATATATATATATATATATATGCATTTCTTTTTGAGATAGAGTCTCCCTTGTCACCCAGTCTGGTGTGCAGTGGCATGATCTCAGCTCATTGCAACTTCCATCTCCTGGGCTCAAGCAGTTCTAAGGCCTCAGCCTTCCAAGTAGCTGGGACTACAGGTGCACACCACCATGTCTGGCTAATTTTCGTATTTTTAGTAGAGATGGGGTTTTTCCATGTTGGTCACTCACACTGGTCTTGAACACCTGACCTCAAGTGATCCACTCACCTCAGCCTCCCAAAGTGCTGGGATTATAGGTGTGAGCCACCATGCCAGGCCTTGATCCATGATTTCCAATGTCTGCATTCAAACTTGTAAAACGGTGCTGCTTGGTCTTGATCACAATACTATCACAGAAGATTAGACTTAAAAATATCCACGGAAATTAACCCATTCAAATGCGGTCATTTTACACACAGAGAAATTTCAAAATATTTTGGCCAAACTTACAGGAGGAGTGAATTAATTTCCCGTTGTTGCCATAATGAATTACCACAAATTCAGTGGCTTCAAACAACATATATTTATTATCTTAGAGGTTCTGTAGGTCAGAAATTGAAAAATCAGTTTCTCAGGGCTGAAGTCAAGGCATCTACTGGCCCGCTTCCTTCTAGAGGCTGTAGGGGAGAACCCATTCCCTGGCCGTTTCCAGAGTCCAGAAGTTGCCTGCATTTCATGGTCATGGCGCCTTGTGCTGGCCTCACTCCAACCTGTGTTTCTGTCATCACATCTTCTCTCTCACTCCAACTTTACTGCTTCCCTCCTGTAAGCAATCTTGTGGTTACATTGGGCTGTCCAACTATAAACAAGTTTGGAGTCAGGTAAAAGGAAACCAGTATGCTATTTAAAAATATTATTGCAATAGGGAGAAATACACTAAGAATAAAACAAATGTCTCAGGAGTCAGGCAAAATAATTTTTTTTTTTAATGAAAAAAGTAAAGCTAGAGGGTGTGAGGAAGTGGAATAAAAGAGCAGTGTGCTTAGGTAGTAGATCAGAGAATGTGTAACCCTGAGGCCAGAGTATTTCCTGAGACAGGCCCTTAAGGAGGGTTGTGTTTGCTGAGGGTGGTCAACATTCAGGGTTCTGGGGAAAGAGAGAATTTTAACTAAGGTCTGGTTAAGAATGATTTTCTTCTGATTGATCAGTGTGGGCAAAACAGTTCAACCAATCATTTGTGGGGTAAAAAAGGACAATTAGGAAAGTGTGTGTCTGATGTTGTCATATGTAAACAAGGGAGTGATCTGTGAGTTTTACCTAAGTCACATAGAGAAGGGGGATTCTTTGCAGTAGCCATTTTTCCAGAAAATAGAAGTGTAGAGAGATTTTTTTTTAAGCTATCACTGTGTTCTACAATCAGAGGGCTTATGTAAACTTCGACATTGTCATGGCTCACCTGAATTATCCAGAATAACCTTCCCATTGTGTGTTCCTTAATTACACCCACAAATGTCCTTTGCCATATGGGGCAAAATACAGTTTTCAGGGATAAGGGACATGTCTATCTTTGGCAAGGGGAAGGCATTTTTCAGCCTATCACAAAAGGTTAGTGGATAATCCTAAAAAGAAATGAAAATTTTTGTTTTTCTAACCAGAGCATTTTTCTACCACAAACTTTAGAGTATCTGTCTTTCTCCAGGTGCCTGCATATACCCACCACCCCATCTGAAAAACCATCTCTTCAGTTTCAACAAACTTCACAAACTTTTTATATACATGCTGACTTTCTGCCTTAATTGCTAACTCTGATTTTAAAGTCTACGCCATGTTTCAGCACCTCACATGTGCTGCCAATATTGATAGCTTTATAAGGCTCAGAGCCCTGGTTTAACCACTTAATGCCTAGTAGGCCTTGGTGGAATGCCAAGCTTTAAATGAGTCCCTCAAAGTTCCTGTGTTGGAAACCTAATCCCCAATGCAACAGGATTGAGGGGCATGACTTAATTAGAGGTCATGTGGGCTCTGCTCTCATGAATGCATTAATGTTGTTATTGTGGAAGTGGGTTAGTTATCACAGGAGTGGATTGTTATAAAATTAACTTCAGTCTGCTCTTACTCTCTTGTTCTTACAGTTTCTTGCCCATCCACCTTATTCCATGGGATGACTTAGATTGAACAAGAAGGTTCTCACCAGTTGCTGGCTTCATGTTCTAGGACTTCCCAGCCTCTAGACCTATGAGCCAAAAATGTTTTTTTTCTTTATAAATTAGTCTATCATATTCTGCCATAGCAACACAAAACACACTGAGACATAGAGGAAGCAAACTTTCCAAGCCTGCCCTGTTCCCTTGCCATTCTTGCCCCACACTAATAAAATATTCCCAAGGATGTGAGCAAAAACATATACCTTCATGCCACTTTTGGTGTGTGTGCAGATGGGGTTATATTTCCTGACTATCATATATGGTACTCCCCTTGAAAATTATGTATCTGCTTATTTAGACTAATTATGTATCTACATTTTTAGACTAAAAAATAGTATTACCTATTTTTTTCATCTATAACTCCAGTGAAATTACTGGAATAATTACACTTTGAAGGCATTCCAGCTGTTCAGTATTTATCATTCTGTGTATACAAAATAATATCATAACTTGTTTAATATATTTCCATATAGAGCTCATCACCAATATCACTTCTCAGATTATTATAGTCATACATATTATCCACCATCTCTGGCCATCTATTTTAACTTGAATTTCTGCAATGGATTTCCAATTGGCTGTCCAGCTTCCACTTTCACCTTTAAGAAATCAATTGTGTACACGGTAGCTAAAGGAAAAAAATATACATATGTATGTGTGTGTGTGTATATATGTGTATATGTGTGTATATACATATATGTGTATATGTGTGTATATACATATATGTGTATATGTGTGTATACACACACACACACACACACACACATATATATATATATATATATATATATAGTTGTTCCTTGGTATTAGTGGAGTATGGGTTTCAGGAGCCTGCGGAAATACAAAAATCATAAATGCTCAAGCTTCATATATAAAATGGCATGGAGTTTGCATATAACCTACCCATACTTTTCTATATGTTTTAAATGACCTCTAGATTACTTATATTACCTAATATATTATAAATTCAATGTAAATAGTTATATTTGTATTTGTATAAATTTCTATTGTATTTTTTAAAATTTCTTTATTACTTTTGATCTATGGTTGCTTGAATCAGCTGGTGCAAAACCCATGGATATGAGAGGCTGACTGAATATACACAAACATACGCATTCAAGTTTCTTCAAACTTAACATATGGTAAAGGTATAAAGCTGTCTTACTATTTTCGAATAAAGTCCCACATTGTAAACTAAACTTGTTTTCCCAGGTGCTTGTTAATATATACAGATAAAGGTTTATATGGTAGGGCTCCATATTAAACCCTACCAACCTCTCAGTCTAATACCTTGTTGTGATCTACTGTGTATGTCAATGCCATGCCAAAAGAGATAGCTGGCATTTGGCCTCAGTTTCTGGTAGGTAATATAGACCTTACCTAGTAAGAGTGCCTTTGTTTCAGGTGGGGATGGCCAAACCTCTATATCTTTAAATAGAGTTGTGGCTAATCATGCCAGAAAGACCAACAACAAGGCTTAGGTTGGGGTCACTGGGTCATGCAATATGAGTCAACTCAGAGGCTGAGCTACATCACATGGAAAAGTAATAAATCAATTATGTCTACCCAAGGGATCCCCAGTAAAACTCCAAAGAGAGGATTGAGTGATTCTCATTGTTTGGCAGTACTCCGTGTGCACTGTTGCATATTGATATCTCAAAAGCAAGGTGCCCTGACTCTCCAAAGAGAGGACAACAAAATAATTTCATTTGGAACGTTTCTATATCTTCTTTTGGCTAATTTTAAACTGTATCACAGCTGTGAGAATAATTACTTTCAGTGAGTTATGTGACTTGTTCTAGCAAAGTATTAAAGCTTAAGGGTCTTTTTGGAAACCCTCCAAAATTTCAGATGGCATTAGAAGTGAAAGCAGTTCTGTGGAGGATTTTGCCCTCAAACATTGCAGTTTGGTTAACTCTGAGCATTTGCTATGAGAAATGGGATGTGCTAAAAATAATCCTAACTTATTGAACTATGTGGTTAAGAAAGAAGAAGGATGAGCGGGAAGGAATGACAAACCTCTTATTCCTGCACGGCCTTGAGGTGTCCCGTTTTGTGCAACTGTAGCTAGGCTGCAATCAGTTACTGGAGCAAAAGTTACCAATGAAATTTAGAAATCATGGGTCCAACTTCTGAGGAGTTGGCTCACTGGATGCATTAAGAAATGTAAATAAGAAGAAAAAAGCAAAATTTGAAATCTCTGTTAAATGTTATCTATAATAACTAAAATAAAAGTAAGAGAGTATTGGTGTGGATCCTGATGCTGGGCCAACCTTGGATCTTGGCAGGTCAGAGCTTTGACCTCTAGCCTTAGAGCCACTACCGAAGAGAAAATTTATGCTAAGAAGACAATGAAGAAGACTGAGCAAATTTGCAAAAGAATGGAGAAGGCAAAATGAGAGAGTAAAGGGTTTCATCCAGCAGCCTGGACATCTTCATTTTTAGAGTTACTAAGAAAAGGAGTAAATACAGTAGAAATTGATGAAGTCAAAACAGATAATATAGCACTCTCTGAAGTTGGATGGACAAATAGCCCCTGCTGATTTCACAATGTTGAAGAAATCTAAACAAATCTGCATATTTGCTCTACTTTAAAGAAATTTAAAGAGTCACAGGCAAAGATGGAAACTTAACCTTCAATTGGCTGGGACAGTAAGTCTGCAATCTAATCAAGATAGGAGCAGACAAGTAGTTATGGGTCCTTCACTGGGAATCCAAGGCTAAATGCATATGAGTGACTGAAATGGTAAGACAGGTAGAAGGTAGAAACAAATCTCAGACTTCTTGAAATGGAAATTCCATGTCCCGTGGTTACAACGTTTTGATGAAGGATACAATAATAAATAAATACAAATGGATATGTTTGAACAAACTTTGTGTAAAGTGGTTTTGTTTTCTTTCCCTAAATGTATTATGGGAATGGATATTGGGTCTGACTGGTGAATGTGTCCCCTGCCTAGTATTATAAAGCAAACTGCATATAAACCAACCCTTTCCCAAATATCAATTGGCTATAGTAAATGGGAACCATAAGCCCATCCAGGTTGTTACTTTGCTGTATAATAACTCTGTGTGGAAAACAGACTGGAGATTATGGCAAAAGTCTGTGAGTGCCACCCAGAAACAACTCTGAGATTTTGGACCAGAAAATTTCCATGTGGGAGGGAATTATTAGTTTGCTATTGAACATTAATTAAAACTGCCTCTACATCTAAAGGACATAATGTAACCATGAATCCTATTATTCCCATATTGTCTTGGGTGATATCAAAGAAACAGTCTAATAAGGAAAACAGTATCCCTAAGTGTTCCTTAATTAATTGGAAATAGTGTACACCGTAACATGCTACCAGGAGAATACAAGAAGGTACTCCTGAAGAGGCAGGCTCTGTTCCCTTAGGGATGATTTTGAACCCCTCTGAGGAGCTGTTAGTTATAGTGAGCACTTGGCCACTTAGAAACCAACTCACAGCTCTTTGCTGACTAACAAAACATTGTTTGGTGTATAGGTGGCAGTTCCAAGGTGTATAGGCAGTATCCTATTTGGAAACAGGTACTCTGATTGAAGAAGATAAATGCAAATCAGCTCTGTGGGCTGTATTACATGTGGTTTGCCCTTATGTTTTGTTTTTTATTGACTCAAGGCTGGTAAGTGATGGACTGGTCATATGGTCATTCACAAGGGCTCATTAAAGACATGTCCATATGGGACATTGCCCTATGGGAATCACTATGGGAATTTAAGGAGTACACGAAAGCAGGACATATTAATACTTATCAGAAAATCCCCTTCCAAGACCCCTGCACCACAGGGAAAGAACAACAGAGCCCTATGTTTGGAGCCCTTATGAACTCTGCCCATGCCTCTGTTTCTGTGGCTGATTTTAATCTGTATCTCTCTATTCTTTTATAAGCTGTAACTGTGAAAGAAAGAGCTTTCAGTAAATTCTGAGTCCTCTTAACAAATTGTTGAATCTGAGAATGGTTTGGGAACTCCCTGAACTTACTGTTGGTGTCCAAAGAGAGGGCAGTCTTGTGGAAGGCTGTGTGGCCTCTAACTTTATAATTGGCCTCGAAGTCCTTGAAACTACTTCAAGTCCTTCAGTGTAATTATTATTATTATTTTTTCTGCCATTACATTGCTCAAATTCTTATGATGAAATCCTAGTGAACCTTTATAAGTAAAAGTAGAGATTGAATTATCAAGTGAATTAAATTGACAGACACAGATGTTTGTGAATTATGGTATCTATACTTTGAAAAGATGTTCACATGCAGTATATACACATACACATGCATAATGAATTTGTTGAGTTAATTTTGGTATCTAACAATTTTCATATAAAAATCTTAGCAAAATCTTTAGTCTTGTAGCCAAAAAATGAACTTTTGTCTTTTTTTGTTTTTTGATTATGTGTGGATTATTTTGCTTGGTGTTTTTTGCTCATAATACCTAAATGAAACACACAGTTTTCATGTACTGCTAATTTTAACTCATTTGATACAACTTGGGATTTCATAAACTTATTTTATCAGGGTGTTTACTGTTGTTATTTCTTTAGGCACTATTACACCATTCATCCTAAATATACTTTTTTAACAAATATTTTGAGAAATCATCTTTTCTTTTGTTGAGTTTGAATTCTGTTTCCAGGTGGTAATGACTTTGAATTCTTGCTTCCATCGCTTACTAATTATGTAGCCGTGGCCAAGGTTCAGTTAGTCTCACATTTATTTCTAGGATAATTAAAGCAGTATCTTTCAAAATAAATTATTATTTCTTTAATAATTGCTGTTATGCCTCAGGGAAAGTCTGTGACAATACAGTTTGAAAAATGCTTACTTCTATACATTATACAGTATTTCCTGCCCCCAACTTTTTCCACAGTTGTGCAGCATTCCTATTATTTGTGTCAATATAAGGGTTACATTCCAAAAACTCCAACATTTAGGATTCTAGAATTCACTTGTGGATTCATTATTGTGTCTTCATTATACAGAAATGTGATCAGAAACATAGTTTTGGCAGAAGTACATTGGTCCCCTGTTTGTAGCTACTCAAGTATTTTAGTGTTTAAAAACCTATACTTAGAATAATGAAGACATGGGCTCTTTTATATTTATTGACTGTGGCCATAAACTTTTCTATTTTATAAGCTTATTGTGGCCATGTGTTCTGACCTACTTTAAATACCTTTCTCCCATAGCTTGTTGCTTACCTCCTGTTTTACCACTAGATGGTACTCATATATTCTTGGTATATTTCAAATACACAACTTTATTTCTCTAATCAGTAGAATTTAAATAATTCAGAAATATAAATAACTCTAAATACCAACTTTAAATAAATTATACTTTTAAATGGCATTTATTAAATTTAATTACAACTATATACTTATGTAAAAATCAAATGCTAAATGCAGATTTGTTTCTGCCTGTATTCCCTTTAATAAGTTTTTACTCTATATGTAGGAATGTAAAAATATAAGAATGATAATAATATTTATTTTACATTAAATGTATACGTGAATATTCTCCTTCCAAATTCTAATTCTTTGTATTGATGGGGTCTATATACCCCTGGATTTCTTCTTAATTAGGTATGTACAGTTTGCCTTTCCGTTAATCAGATAGTTTTCCGATGAAGCTATTGACTGTTAATTAGCTAATACATATGAATATTACCTTATATACGCTAAAACTGTTTTGGCTTAGTGTAATTCAAGCACTATTCTAAATATTTTACATTTGTTAAATAATTTATTGTTGCACCAACCAAATGAGGTAGGTATTGTTTAATCCTCATATGAGAAAACAGAATTAGAGAAATTAAGTAACTTCTCCATAGCCACATATCTGGTAATTTCTAGACATCGGAAGTTGTCTCTTTCAAATCTCAGAGTTGTAATTATTATACAATACTTCTAATACAATAACAATGGTGTTTTTATTATAAAACTTTCCACTTTTCTGTACCAGTAGAAAAAATAATTGGGCTTAGGTATACCTGCTCAAATAGAGAAAAGGAAATATCTAGCTTTGTGGTCTTCATGGAAAGAAAACAGATTAATATATACACACATAGTTCTTATGGGGTTACAAATTGAATGTTAAGAATCCATGTCAGGGTAATAAATTTTATTATCATGAATATAGCAACAGAATTTAATGCTTACCTCTTTATTTCTCTACTGCTTAATATGAATCTAGTGTTTCTGTATCAACTTTTTAACCTTTGCAGTTGAAAAGAAAAAAAAGCAAAGACTAGTTTAAAGTAAGAATGATAATAATAATGAATAATAACAGAAACCTGACTGTATCCATAGTATCTTTCTAGGCAGTTAGCTGAGTACAAAGTTATATTTTGAGCAGGTAGGCAAAAATTTTAATAACATATGACTTTAATTTGATTATCAACACTAAAAGGGAAAAGTTATACCTATTAATTTGCTTTATTAAAACAAATTGGCCAGGTGTGGTGGCTCATGCCTATAACCCCAGCATTTTCAGAGGCCAAGGCGGAAACATCACCTGAGCCTAGGAATTTGAGACCAGCCTGGGAAACATGGCAAACCCCATCTCTACAAAAAATAACAAAAAATGCTGGGCATGGTGGCACACACCTGTAGTCCCAGCTACTGTGGAGGCTGAGGAGGGAGGATATTTGAGCCCGAGAGGTTGAGGTTGCAGTGAGCAGTGATCATGCCACTGCACTCTAGCCTGGATGACAGAGTGAGACTGTCTCAAAATAAACAAATAAACGGAATAAACTAAACTAAAATAAAACAAGTTTCTTAATTTCAAATTCTTTAGTGGCTTTTTGGTCATAGAGATTATAAATCAAATGTAAATGGTATTTGATTTAGGAAATTATGGTTTTATATATGTAATGTGCTCTGAGAATTAAGAAACTATTAGGAAGAGTAAATCTCATCAGTATGTAGGGAGAAATATTGAACCTCAGATGGCTAGTAGAAAAACAAAACTATCAAGAGCCATAAAATAAAAAGAATGTATTAACTATATATATATATATATACACACACACACACACACACATATATGTGTGTGTGTGTATACAATTTTACAACTAAATATGTATATATAGGCACACAATTTTTTTCAAATTTTATTTTAGGTTCAGGGAATAGATATACAGGTTTGTTAATGGGTCAATTGTGTGTCACTGGGATTTGTCATACAAATTGTTTTGTTACTCAGGAAGTGAGCACAGTAAATGATAGGTAGTTTTTCAATCTTCACCCTCTTCTCGCCCTCCAGCCTCAAGTAAGCCCTGGTGTCTATTGTTCCCATATTTATATCCATGGGTGCTTAAGGTTTAGCTCCCATTTAAAACTAAGAACATGCCAAATTTGGTTTTCTATTCCTGCCTTAATTCACTTAGGATAATGGTTTCTAGCTTCATCCATGTTGCTACAAATGACAAGATTTTTTTTTCTTATTATGGCTTTGTAGTATTTCATGGGTTATAGTTACCACATTTTCTTTATCCAGTCCGCTGTTGATGAGCATGTAGGTCTATTCTATGTCTTCACTAGTGTGAAAAGTGCTGCAATGAACATAAGAATGCATGTGTTTTTATGGTAGAATGATTTATTTTCTTTTGGATATGTATACCCAGTAATGGTACTGCTGAGTCATATGGCAATTCTGTTTAAGTTCTTTAAGAGACCTTCAAACTCTTTACCACAGTAGCTAAAATAACTTACCTTCCCACCAACAGTAAATAAGTGTTCCCTTTTCTCTGCAACTTTGACAAGACAAAATCTGCTTTTATTTTTTATTTTATTTTACTACCTTTTAATAATAGCCTTTTTGACTGGTATCATGGTATTTAATTGTGGTTTTGATTCACATTTCTCTAATGATCAGTGATATTGAACATTTTTTCATATACTTGTTGGCCACGAGTATGTCTTCTTTTGAGAAGTGTTTGTTGATATCTTTGCCCATTTTTTAATGAGTTGTTTGTTTTTTTGCTTGTTGATTTGTCTGTATTCCTTATAGATTCTGGATATTACATATTTGTTGGATTCGTAGTTTGCAAATTTTTTTTCCATGCTGTAGATCTGTTTATAGTTTATTTTGCTGTGCAGAAGCTCTTTAGATTAATTAGGTCTCATTCATCAATTTTTATTTTTGTTGCAATTGCTTGGAGTCTTTGTCATAAAGTCTTTGTCTTGGCCTATGTACAGATGGTATCTCCTAGGTTTCCATGATTGGTTTTTAAATTCTTAGGTTTTATGTTTAACTCTTTAACCCATTTTGATTTGATTTTTCTATATGGCAAAGGGAAAAAATCCAGTTTCAATCTTCTGCATATGGCAAGCCAGTCATTGAAGCACCAGTTATTGAATATGGATTCCTTTCTCCTTGATTG
Organism: Homo sapiens; assembly: GCF_000001405.40. NCBI lineage: Eukaryota > Metazoa > Chordata > Mammalia > Primates > Hominidae > Homo > Homo sapiens. The sequence goes on from NC_000005.10 coordinate 24,008,751, forward strand.
TTACTGTTGATTTTTTTGAAGACCAAATGGTTTTAGGCTTGTGGCTTTATTTCTGTGTTCTCTAACTTATTCCATTGTCCTATATGTGTGTTTTTCTACCATTACCATGCTGTTTTGGTTACTGTAGCCTTGAAGTATAGTTTGAAGTCAGGAAACGTGATGCCTCCAGTTTTGTTCTTTTTGTTTTGGATTATTTTGGCTATTCAAGATCTATTTGGTTTATATAAATTTTTAAGAACTTTTTTCTAATTCCATAAAAAAATGGTGTTGGTATTATGACAGCATGGAATCAGTATATTGCTTTGGTTATTTGAAATATATTGATTTTTCCTATCCCGGAGCATGAAATATTTTTCCATTTGTTTGTATCATCTCCCATTTCTTTGAGTAGTGTCTGGTAATTATCATTGTGGAGAACTCAAGCCTCCATGATTAACTCCATTTCTAGGTATTTTATTCTGTCTGTGGCTTTTGTGAATGGGACTGCATTCTTGATTTTACTCAGTTTGGTGGTTATTGGTGTATAGAAAAGCTACTAATTTTTGTCCATTGATTTTGTAATCTGAAACTTTACTGAAGTATTTTATCAGTTCTCAGCATCAGTGAGCAGATACCATGGGTTTTTCTAGGTATAGAATGGTGTCGTCTGTGAAAAGAGACAGTTTGATTTCCTCTCTTTCTATTTGGATGCCTTTTATTTACTTCTCTTGCCCAATTGTTCTGGCTAAGGCTCCAGTAATGTGTTGAATAGGAGTGATGTACAGGGACAGTTTATAGTGCTAAAAATCTATATCAAAAAGTTAGAAAGAATGAAAATTAATAATCTAACATCACACTGAGAGGAACTAGAAAAACAAGAGCAAACCATACCCAAAACTAGCAGAAGAAAATAGTCAAAATCAAAACTGAACCAAATGAAATTAAGAAATTAAAGCAATGATCTGTACAAAAGATTAATAAAACCAAAAGTTGGTTAGTTGAAATAATTAATAAGATTAATAGAACACTAGCTAGACTAGTAAAGAAAAACAGAGAGAAGATTCAAATAAGCAGAATCAGAAATGACAAAGATGACATTACCACTGAAGTGCACAGAAATACAAGGGGCCCTAATAAACCATTATGAACACCTCTATGCACACAAACTAGAAAACCTAGAAGAAACAGATAGATTCCTGAAAGCATAAAACCTCCCAAAATTGAACCAGGAAGAAACAATACCAGGACAGACCAACAATGAGTTCCAAAATTGAATTAGTAAAAAAAATACCTACCAACCAGAAGAAGCCCTGGACCAGACGGAGTTACAGCTGAATTTTAACCAACATATAAAAAAAAGCTGATAACAATCTTACTGAAACTTTTCCCAAAAATCCAGGAGGAATTCCTCCCAAATTCATTCTATGATGCTAGCTTCATTTTTATATTAAAAACTGGCACAGATACAACAAAAAGAAGACTTTATGTCAATATCCCTGATGAATATAAATGCAAAACTTCTCAACAAAATACTTGGAGATCATCAAATCTAGCAACATATCGAAAAGATAATTCTCTATGGTCAAGTAGGCTTTTTTCGTGGGATGCAAGGTTGGTTCAACATACACAAATCAATAAATGTGATTCATCACATAAACAAACTAAAAACAAAAACCACTTGACCATCTTAATAGGTGAAGAAAATACTTCTTACAAAATGAAATATCCCTTTATGTTAAAAACCCTCAACAATCTAGGAATCAGAGGAACATAATGGAAAATAATGAGTCATCTCTGATAAACCCACAGCCAACACCATACTGAATAGGCAAAAGCTGGAAGCATTTTCCTTGTGAATGCGATAATGGTAGTGTCATCACCAGATCCTGGGAAGAGTACGGGGTGTGGGGATGGTTTGTTAATGGGAGTATAATCCTTCTCTTACTATTTAATTTTAGTGAGTAGATAGTAGGTATATATATTTATTGGGTACATTAAATATTTGAAAATAGGTGTACAATGTATAGTAATGATATGAGGGTAAAATAGGGTTTTTCTCACATCAAATATGTATCCTTTCCATGTGTTACAAACATTCCAAATATAAACTTTTAGTTATTTTAAAATGTATAATAAACTAGCACTGACTGTAGTCACCCTGTTGTTGTGCTATCAAATACTAGATCTTATGAATTCTATCTAGCTATATTTGTGTAGCCATTAGCCACCCCCACTTTCCCTCAACATTACCCATCCCAGCATCAGGTAAACATCATTCTATTCTCTATCACCATGAGTTCAATTGTTTTAATTTTTAGCTCCTATGAAGAAGTGAGAAGATGCTATTTTTTTTTTCTGTGCTTGGCTTATGTCAGTTAACCATGTCCTCTAGTTCCATTCGTGTTGTTTCAAATGACAACATCTTATTTTTTTTTATAGCTTAATAGTACTTCACTGTGTATATGTACCACATTTTCTTTATCCATTCAACTGTTGATGGACACTTAGGTTGATTCCAAATCTTGACTATTGTGAATAGTGATGCAATATACATGGAGGTATATTGCATATATACCTTTGATATATTTATTTCCTTGCCAGCATTTGTTACTGTCTATCTTTCAGATATGAGCCATTTTAACTGAGTGACATCAAAACTCTTTCAGGGTAGTTTTGATTTGCATTTCTCTGATGATCATTGATGTCGATCACCTTTTCATATACCTGTTTGACATTTGTATGCTTTCAGAAATGTTTACACAAAACTTTTGCTCATTTTTAGTAGAATTCTTAAATTTTTTGTTACTGAGTTTTTTGAGCTCTATCTAGATTCTGGTTATTATTTCAGATAAACTAGTTTGCAAATAATTAGTATGCTAATAATTCATCCCTTTGAATATATCATCCCATTTTCCCTGGCCTTTAAAGTTTCTGCTGAAAAACCCACCATTAATCTGATATGGTACTACTTATAACTGACTAGTTGATTTTCTCTTACCATTTCAGAATTCTTTGTCTGACTTTTGGCAATTTGTTTACAATGTGCCAATAAAAAGATCTTTTTAAATTTTCTATTTTGACCTCTGAGCTTCCTGTATATAAATATCTCAATCTCTTGCTAGACTTGAGAAATTTTCAGCCATTATTTTGTTGCATTGGTTTTCTATTCCTTTCATTTTTTTCATCTCCTTCAAGGACACTAAAAATTAGAACACTGATTCCTTTATGATGCTCCATATGTCATGTAAAATTTATTCATTTTTAACCACTTTTTTCTTTATTTTTTCCTTTTTGACTCTGTTATGTTCAAAGGCTTACCTTCAATTTCTGGCATTCTTTCTTATTCTTGACCTAGACTATTGCTAAAGCTTTCAAATGCATTTTGTGTTTTACTCAATAAATTCTTCAGTTTCAGGAACTCTCTTTAGTTCTTTATTATAATATCTAATCTCTTCATACATTTCTTATTTATATCCTGAATTGTTTTTCTGATTTATTTGTACTGTACTGTTTATCTGTGTTCTCTTCTATCTCATTGACTTTTTGTAATTACTATTTTTTGAATGTTTTTCAGAATATTATTATATTTTTAATTGGAATCTATAGCTGGAGACTTATTGTGTTTCTTTGGAGCTGTCATATATACTTGCTTTTCCATTTCTTCTCATTTCTTACATTGGTATTTGTGCATCAAGTTTAATAGTTGCTTCATCCAATTTAAAACATTTGCTTTCATAAAGGAGGATTTTTTTCCTGAGCACATATCTATAACATTGGATGGGTAGAGTACTTTGACTTTGATTCTAGGTGGGCACAGCGGTGTCTTTATATAATTGTTTTTCAGCTCCAAAAAAGTCAGTGGTGTCTGTAATTTCCTCAGTGGTTTAGGCTGTAGTCGTTATTGGGAGGCTGTGGTGAAGTCTTGCAAGGGGTGGGAATGCCAGTAGGCCAGTCCTCAGGCTCCAGTCATGACAATACTGCACCAAGTTTACTTGTCTTTGGGGTCCAGGGTGGCATACCCTGGTATCATTGTTATCAAGTTCAGATGTCAAATTCTTGGGCCTCCAAAAATTTTGCTCAGGAGCCAGTGGTAGTGGTGGGCCAGGTGGCCTTGTGGGTATTCAGCCCCCTGGAAAGTGCCCATGGCATGGGTGATGGCACTAACAGTGGTGGGAGGAACTTCTGGCTCCCAAATGATCCATACTGGTGTTTATGGTGACTGTGATGTGCTGGGTGGGCCTGTCCTCAGGCCTGCAATTGGGGTGTGTGTGTGTCTGTGTGTGTGTGTGTGTGTGTGTGTGTGTGTGTGTGTGTGTGTGTGCGCGCGCGCGCAGGCTGTGGTGGCAGCAGCAGTTTGAGTCGGCTCAACCTCAGGCACCTGGGGAAAGTTCTCGGGTACCAGTGCTGGTGGATGGGACAGGATGATCCACAGACCCCTGGATAGCGTGCTTGGGTACTGGTAGGAAAAAAATTGGCCTGGGTGGAACTGCTTTCAGGCTCCCTGATGATATGTGTCAGCACTGGCTTTGGTGGGATAATTCAAAAGCCCTTTGCAAAATGCTTAGGTGGGGCTATAGCAGCTGCTCTGCACACCAGCTGCTGATGAGGGTAGGGTGACTTTCAGTGATGGGAGCCATAGACAGGTGGCTTGGGAGCTTGGACCCTAGTAATAGCAGCCAGCAGTAGGGATGGCTGAAGGTGGGAGAGTGTCATCAGGACATGTAAAAACGCAGACCTGCTCTGCTTCTGGGAGTAGTGGAGTCACTGCCAATGGCTTGCAATTTGGCACTGGTGGCAGCAGCCAGTTTGGTGGTGACTGCAGTTGGCAGATGTCAATGGGCTACAGGGATGTAGAGATGCAGGGAGTATAGGCCAAGGGCAGAAGGCAGTCTACTGTGAGCTAGGGTCTCAAAATAGTGCATTGCTGTGACTGCTTAGGAATTAGGGAATGCATGGGACCCAGTGCAGGCTTCTTCTCTGGAGCAATGCCATCACATAGTCTTGGGAAGCTCCCTATGTTAATTGTAGAGACTGAAAGGGTTGACGGGCTCCCTGATGGCTAGAATTGTAGGAGTTTGTGCTGGGAATGTGGGCCACTGGGGTCTCTCACTCTTTCCTACATTGTGGAGGCTCTCTGGGTTCTTAGCTGATCCCAGCTGAGCAGGATGCCTAGCTTTTTTTCTCCTTTCTTGCCTTGGGTTTTTCTTGTCACTTCTCTGTTCAATTCCAGTATTCCCCTTAGAAAATTTATTAAAAGTGTGATTACTTATTGTTTTTGTTCTTCTTGGCAGAGGAGGCAAATACAAGATTCCTTTAATCAGCCATTTTGATGCCAGCTACATGAATGTATATATAATCCAGCTCTTTAATTGTATTATTGTAATTTTTTTCTACTTTGTATAACCTCATATCTCTGTTTCACTTTCTCAAATGACTTTATTAAAGAAAACATTTTAAGGTGACTTGTTGCAATATCATATGTAGTAGGAATACACACACACACATACCCTAAGTTTCTGTCATTAACAAACAGAAAAATTATCATCAATGCATTTAGTAAAATAATTTACATGATTTGAAGCTCTAAATAAATGAATGATACTGAATTATTGTAAAAAATGCACAATGCACAATAATGCCTTTTGGTATAGCATTTAAAAAACACAAAAACAAGGAATCTATATAAGAACTCTCACTTGTATACATGCTAATTACTCATATGAATAATGACTGCCTCCAATAAAAGGTTCGAGAAAACTTTAAAACTGGGGAGAAAGAGTAACTTATTTTGCACTGTTTACTCTTTTAAATACTCTTTATTTTTTAACAAATGTCTATACTATCTACTCAAATCAGCAAAATATAAATATAAGGAAATCTAGTTATTTAAAACATAATAAAGACATTCATTTGACAAGCCGAACTGCTTCTGCTTTTCCTGGGCATTGCATGTGGCTTCTGAATAAAGATGTCAGTGTGTGAGACAGAGATGGAAACAAGATAGACGGGCCTCCCTTCTAGATATGTATAGAGCTTTCCTCTCCATATGCCAGTGACTAGACTCTGACTTGCTTCTGCCTCTGATGCCACTGTTTATTCAAGGAGATTATAATGGTAAATCCCCATTTTTACCTACAATAGCATTTAAATCATCAATAATGTTTCTAAGACTGGAAAGTATATATACACTCAAGTATATATCAGTATATATATGTATATATTTAAGTAGGTATAAGTATATATACACATATATATTTGAATATATATAAAAGCATATGTATACATATATTCAGGTATATACAAGTATATAGATATATATTCACATATGTACATATGCATATGTATACATATATTCAGGTATATATAAGTATATAGATATATATTCACATATGTACCATTCACATATGGAAGGTACATAATCTCAGCTTTTATCTTGCCATAGATATGTGTAAAAGTTTTATTCAGTCACTGAAGGATGGAGTGAAAATACACTATAGAGAAACACTCTTCTAGAAACATCAATTTGTTCATGAAGTTCAGAACTAAACTTTTGCAATGGACTGGTGTGTTCCCCCAATTCATATATTGAAGCACTAACCCTAATGTTATTGCACTTGGAGATAGGACATTGAGGAGGTAATTAAAGTTTAATGAGGCCACAAGAGAAACAACCTGATCTGATAGCTTTAAAGCTCTTACATGAAGAGGAGAAGGGAGGGATCTCTCTCCATCTCTCTCCATCATACATGCAAACAACAAGGAAGCTACAGCCTGCAAGCCAGAAAGAGAGCTCTCACCAGGAGCTAACATGGCCCAGTCCTTGATCTTGGACTTCCCAGGCTCCAGAAGAGTGAGAAATAAATGTCTGTTAAATCATCCAGTTTATGGTATTTTGTTATAGCAGCACAAGCAGATTCATATAATTGGAATAAAAAGTAAGTTTATACTTGGCCGGGCACAATGGCTCACACCTGTAATCCTAGCACTTTGGGAGGCTAAGGCAGGAGGCTTGCTTTAACTCAGGAGTTCAAGACCAGACTGGGCAACCTGGTGAAATCCTGTCTCTACCAAGAATACAAAAAATTAGCCGGGTATGGTGGTGGGAACTTGTGGTCCCAGCTATTCATGAGGCTGAGGTGGGAGGATGGCTTGAGCCTGGGAGGCAGAGGTTGCAGTGAGCCAAGGTCATACCACTACATTCCAGCCTGGGTAACAGACCAGGATTCTGTCTCAAAAAGAAAAAAAATTATACTTTATCAAACTGAGAACAAAAAAGGATAAGAAAAATGTACAGTTAACAAAATAGTAAATGTGTGTATATGAGTAAATGCAAATTAAATAATTTTAGTATAGTTCTTTAAAATTCAAATGTTAAATATAAAATGTACTTACTGTGAATTATGTATTACTTGAAAGATAAAACACACTGAGGCTAAGCAGATGACATTGTAATATTGTTTTTGAAGTTGAAACAATATTTACAAAGTCAAATAATCATAAAAATAAGAATGAAAAATAATAAACAAATTCATTTTATGGAAAATATTGTTTTTAGAATGTTAAGAAAAAGAGATATTTTTCTCATTACATATTGTTCCTCTGATATCTGAAGTTTCAAATGACTTCCAAATTTTAAATTACTTGTGAAGTTACTATTTTGTATTTGGTATATTTTTTTTCATATATACATTTTTTTTTTCAAATAGACATGCAATATACATATATATTTTTTAAAATAAAGTCATGTATCTCCTAATGATAAGAAAACATTTTGAGAAATGCCTCACTGAGTAATTTAAATGTTGTTCAAGCATAATGGAATATACTTACACAAACCTAGGTGATATAACTGAATATATACATAGGCTATATGGTACAGCCTATTGCATCTAAGCTACAAGGCTGTATAGCATGGTATTATACTGAATACTGTAGGCAATTATAACACAATGGTAAGCATTTGTGTATTATATAGAAAGGGTACAGTAAAATTATACTATTATAATCTTATAAGATCATTAGTGTATATTTGCTTCATTGTTGACTAAAATGTTATGCAGCACATGATGTTTATACACATTCAGTCACACACAAACACACACATATATGTACACACACACATACACTTGTCAATACAATAATGAAATCATTGTAGAGAAAATTTGGGGGCTTTTTGCAAAATAATACAGTCATCTGGAGAAGTCTAAAAATAGACTTTGCACCATTGTTTATTGCTCATATTAATTTGCTCTTACATTTTTAAGGGTGTGTTATGATGTATCACAGAGAAAATTGATCATACTCCATGGATATTTAAAAAACACATTTATTATGATTTTGACTAAAATCCTCTGAAATTAAATTATTCAAGAGTTAATATGTGACTGGGTGGTTTAAATAGCAGAAATGTGTGTATCACAATTTTGGAGACAAGAAATTCATGATCAAGATACCAGAAAATTTGGTTTTTGGTGAGGAATCATTCCTGGCTTGTAGATAGCTGCATCCCTCTATGTCCTCACATAAACTTTCCCTGTGCATGAGCATGGAGAGTGAGAGCAAGATCTCTGATGTCTCTTCTAAGGACATCAGGCCTTACTACCCTGGGCATTTTTTTTGCAGAGAAAAATAGGTTTTAATTAGTATTTAATTTTTTAAAAAATTATTTTTTCCCTCGAATCTGGGCTTTACGCTTATGACCTCATTTTTTAAAATTTTATTCCTTGAGAAGCTCCATCTACAAATACAGCCACACTAGATGTGAGGTCTTTAACATATAAATATTAGGGGCATGAAAACTTTCCACTCTGTAGCAGTGGAGATCATGATAAGACAACTGAATTCCATGACAAGAGCCCATTGTTACACTGAATTTACTTGAGGTGACTTCCTTGATCAGAAACAATATGTTGTGTGGGATACCATAATGATAGAAAAGGCATTTTGTAAGTCCATGGAAGGTAATTTTGGAAGAAACATTGAGGGGAGGGAAGGCAAATCCATATGCATAGTACGTGCCTATTTCTGTAAGAATAAAAAAAAAATGCCACTCCTTCCCTGATAGAAGTAGTTCAATGCAATTAACCTGTTGCCAGGTAGCTGGCTGACCACCCTAAGAATAATACAGTAAGTTGGCCAGGCGCGGTGGCTCACACCTGTAATCCCAGTACTTTGGGAGGCCGAGACGGGTGGATCACAAGGTCAGGAGATTGAGGCCATCCTGGCTAACATGGTGAAACCCCATCTCTACTAAAAATACAAAAAAATTAGCCGGGCGCAGTGGTGGGTGCCTGTAGTCCCAGCTACTCGAGAGGCTGAGGCAGGAGAATGGCGTGAACCCAGGAGAGGGAGCTTGCAGTGAGCTGAGATCTCGCCACTGCACTCCAGCCTGGGCGACAGAGCGAGACTCCGTCTCAAAAAAAAAAAAAAAAAAAAAAAAAAAAAAGAATAGTACAGTAAGTCAAGGTAGGTCCAGCATTTCTAGTTCATTTAATATGGCCCACCTTATTGTTGCTGTTTCAGCCAACCAAGCAAACAATCTCTTACAGCCCTTTCTTACTCCCTGAGCTACATACAACATTAAATGCAGAGGTTTTGCTTAGTGACTCCATATTAATAAATTAGTCCTAATTCAACTTTATGCCCCTTCCACAATTATCTCACACCCTTAATATCCATTCCCACACATTTCCTAAATTTTTATTTGCATAAATTAGAAAAATCAAGTACTTCTTTTGCACCATAATGCATCTCATAATGGGATACACTTTGTACCTCACCTTCATGGACCGCTAGGACTTGTGTTTAGTAGTAAGGCTACAAGTGAAAGAGGGCAGTGAGAGTAGTACCTAAGGAGAATCAGCATTGTCTTCTTGCAAGCCATCTGTCTCAGGGAAGGCCATTTCAGTGTTCTCAAGCAATATGGGGTTAATATCCTTAGGGTAGAGAGGCTGCTTCTACAGCCCAAGGAGACTCATCAGAATTTAAGGTCTCAATGTCTCCAGCTTTATCAGGGTATTGCCAATGCCTCCCCATTCCAACATTCAGAATCTCATTTCTTCTCAGTCTATGTCTTAATCTTCACAATAGGCACACTGTGAGGCTGATAATTAAATTTGCCTTGTAATTTAGCAATTAGTTAGATGAGATTCTGGGTTTGATTTTAAATAGTCTCGGCCTTGTCATCTAAGGGATAAATATCTCTTTTATAGCAGATACAGAAGATTTCAGGTCATTTGTGAAGCACTTGAGCTAGAAATTAGAATCCTTTAGCTCTGTTCTTTTCTTTTCCTACTTTAAAAGCAACATCAGGAACAAACAGTAAATTTCATTATACTTGTTAATTTGACAAAAAAATGTTTAATGGTATCATAAATATGATCATTCAGATCCTTACCTCTTATAAATATTTGATTTGGTATATTCAATTGAGACATTTTGAGTATCTCTATTGCCACATCACAACATGGACTACCAGTGCTCTCTTTACTACTGGAAATAGATTGATTAGCATCATTAAATCTAATCTGATTAGAGAGCCAATTCCAGAAATCCCAGAATCAATTTAAAAACCTCATCCTTACAATTTTATTCTTCTAGAACCACTTCTAGTACCAAATCTATATCAGTCTGAGTTTGCCAAAGAAACAGATCAAGTAGGATGTATATAATAAAGTCAGCCTTCCATATTTGCAAGTTTTACATTCATGAATTAAACCAACAGGGGATTGAAAATATTTGGAAAAATACACCAATGAACAATAGCAATACAACAATACAAGTAATGTAAATAAAAATAGAGTATAAAAATTATTTGCATGACATTTTCATCATATCTGGTTACATAAGTAATCTAGAGATAAGCAAAGTATACAGCAGGATGTGGATAGGTTATATGCAAATGCAAATACTGCACCATTTTATGTAAGAGACATAAGCATTCTCATATTTTCGTATTTGAGGAGAACCAATCCCTTAGAACTGTGGTGGGACAGCTGTATATATGTATACACACATTTATTTTAAGGAATTGGATCAAACAATTATAGAGGCTGTCAAACCAAAGTCTTCAGGGTGAGCAGACATGTTGGAGACAAAGTGAAGACAAATGGAAACTGAGAGGAAGGTCACCTACTGACATAATTTCTTCTCATTTGTGAGAGGTCAGTCTTTTTTCTATTTGGGCATCTAACTGTTAGAATGAGGCTCACTCACACTAAGAAGTACAATCTTCTTTACTCAAAGTCCATGGATTTAAGTGTTAGTCTCATCCAAAAATACCCTTACAGGAACTTCCAGAATAATGTTTGACCAAATAACTAGCCATCATAACCTAGACAAGCTGACACATAAAAATAACCATCATACCCTACTTTAACATATAGCATAAAATTTTATATTTTTTCTTTATATACCTAATGTCTTTTTTTATTTCAATAGGTTTTACTATCCTGAGCATTTTTTTTGCAGAGAAAAATAGGTTTTAATTAGTATTTTTCTTTTTAAATATTATTTTTTCCCTTTCTCTATTAGGTGAAATTATATTTTCTCTTTTTATATAAAGGCCTTTAGCATATGTGTTAGTCAGCCTTTTTCCATGGTAAAGAACAACCCCCAATCTTATTAGCTTAGAAAAAAACAAAAACAAATGTTTATTTCTTCTCCTGATGACTGAAGTTCTGTTGAGTTCTTGTTGACTCCACAATTTCTTTAATTCTAGAACATTGGCCAGAAAAAGCATCTACTCTCTGAGACATGATATTGTTCCTGAAGTAAGCTCGAGGGTCAAGCATATTATAGTTCTTCTTGAAGCCTTTATTTAGGAGTGAGCACACTTCTCTTCTTGCCACATCCTGTTGGTCAAAGCCATTTACATGGACAAATCCAGAGTCAATGGGATGGGGATGTTTACTATTTCTAGTCTACTGGAAAGAAAGCACTGCAGAGTCCCATAGCAAAGATCAAGGAGGTACAATACTATGTTTAATTAGTAGCTAACAGTGGATAGTAATCCAGTCACTTAAAAAAATTAAATGCAGAGCCTTAACATCTTAATAAGTAGGAGATTTATTAAATATTTTCAAATTTACACTGGTTTTTCTTCTGAAAAATACTTTACATCAATTCATGATGGAAGCATAGCATACTGACTAACATGACTAACTTTAATACAACATAAAATAGTTAAGTCTAATGGGGGGTTAGGGGAATCTAAAGTCACATAGTGATTAAAAATTATTATCAGTAATAGTCCTGCTTATTGACTATTTACATTATTTCTCTCTCTTTTATAGGCCTAACTTGCATGTTCTTATACAATTATCATAAAATTTATATTAAGCAATTACTTTTAATAGCTCAATTTTTAAAATGAGAAAACTGAAGCAACAAAAGCTTATCTAAATGCTCATGATGAAGCAGATAGCAGCAGAATCAGAATTCAACTCCAAGCATGTAAGAGCCACAGTAGTACATTATTGCTGCTGTAATATAGTACAGGAAGTTATAAAATTCCATCTTATTTTGAATACAATAAAAGCAACCATATGCTTTCACATTAGCTATGCATGATTAAAGCTTAGAGATTACATACTTGAGATTTAGTTATTTCTTCTTAAAAGTATGTGAAAATATGGATGCATCAAGCCCCAAGATAACTTTTTTTAAAGACCCTTGAAGACAAACTTGATATAGAAGGAAATATACATTTAATTTAGAAGGATGTGTTTCACATAAGGATAAGATGCTGGAGTGATTGATCTTACATTTACAGTTTTAAATTTAGGTAATAGATGATTTGTCCTAATCAGAATCCACAGGAGTTATTTTTAAAGACATTGCTATCATTCATCTCATTAGTTTCTCTCAGGTATTTATGTAATACATTTCTATCTGTCATGCACATTGATTAAGAGACAAAAAGTTAGCTGTAAATGTGTTTTCAAGATTATCTTTAGAAAGTTAAATTTTAGCACATGTGTTAATGAGACATTTTTTTAAATCATTAGTTTTCTTTAAAAAGCTAACAGCAAGATATTTATATAGGTATTAAAATAAGAATCTTATGTAACAACATATGCTGTATGAATTTAAATCTGCTAAATTATATAAAAGATGCTACTTGAGTAATATATTGCTGGCAATGAGAATATAATAGCTTAAGTCTTTAAAGTTGGATTGAAAAAGTACTAAGAGCTCTGGGGTATTTTTGGAAAAAATGTATTAAGCCTATAGATACTTTAGAATGTTCTATTGGGAAAATAATAATTTTTTCATTTGACATATCTGGTATATCCATTGACACTCCTGAGTCATCCTATTAAATAATCTGCTGTATCTTCAACTGTCTCTTAGGTCTCTTCTAGGTAGTCCATAAGTAAATTATGTAAAAACATATAAAATAAAAATAAACACATACTCAGGGATTATTAGTGACTTACATAATGTCCCAAATTTGATAGTGGAAATGGGTTTAGAAAATGGAATGTTAGGTAAGCATATTAGGTGTGGTATTGTTGTATATACTACAAAGAAGAATTTTTGCCTACTTTTGAACACCTCTTAAAATATTCCTGATAACAAGGCTAACTTCAGTGTTCTTATATACATTTTATAATTATTATTATACACTTTAAATGGTTTTAAGAAATTGTGTGAACAACTCCATAACAGTGATCACTTTTTATGCATTCATTCTAAATGATGCAGCATTTCATTCTTCCTATAAAGGAGAAAGAGTAAGTTTATTTGATTGGTTGCAAATCAGTTTACACAAAGTTAACATTTGAGAAAAAAGCTTGCATTATCTTTTATTATACCAACTAGAGAAATAAATATCTGTGGAACGAAGTCTGGAAAAATGGCTGATAGGAGACAAAACTAACTTTCAGTTCTCACTTGGATGGACACAGCAGCATGTGGAGATTCACACTGTGAACTTTTGCTCCAAGAACTACCACTGAAACATACCAGGAAAGCCAAGAGAATCCACAGACCCTTTGAAGGAAGCAGCTTAACACTGCAGGCTCCCTGAGACAACCAAAAAACTGTGATTGTTCAAAGTGTGGGAGGGGAACTGTCCACCCTTGAACACACATCCTCACTGGTGAACCTGAACATTGAGACCTGGGAGATGAATTTGACCATACCTGAAGCTGAGAAGAATTTAGGGAGCTGAGCAAAATATAGGGGTAGAGGAAACAGTGGGAAGAGCCTTGTGGGCACTCTCAGTCCCCAGGGTAGCCATTTCTGACTGTGGCTCAGAGGAGTTCTTGGGAAGGGCTGTCAGTGGAATTGGTGAGACCACAGGGAGAAAAAAATGTCAGCTGAACTTTGTAACAATTTACACCAAACGTGAAGTTTCCTGGACAGACTATGGGGGAGGAGGTGAATGGGGAGTGCAGATACAAGCACAGAAGCCATGGCAGGCAGGGTGGTGTGAAAACTGAAAGCTCTGCTTGCCTTCTCAGTGGGGAGGCTTGTAGCCTAGGGAGAGTTCTCAGCCCTGCTCACCAGCTGCCTGGAAATAAACTCAGTTCCATGAGGGGGGCACAGTGCAAGTGAGACCAGCCTTTTGGTCTATGTGGGACCTGGGTAAGGCCTGTTACTGTTGGCTTTTCCCTACTTCCCTGGTGACCTGTATGATGCAGCAGAGGCAGCCATAATCCTCCTGGGAACATAACTCCGTTGGCCTGAGAACCACTCCCTCATCCCCCACAGTGGCCACGCCAAGCCCCACCCAAGGAGAATCTGACTTCAGCTACAGCAAAAACAAAGGAAACAATCTCTTGGGATCTGATTTCCCCTCCTCTGACCACCTAAAAAACCCAAATACTTATCCAAGCAACACTAGGGCAAGCTTGTATCCTCCCTGTGCTACAACAGCTGATGCCCTCTTGAAAGTGCCACCTCCTGGCTGGAGGCCAACCAACACAAAACCAGCCCACTAAACAAAAACACAACTGTGGACCCTCAAAGAGTCCATTTCACTCCCCTACTACCTCTACCAGAGCAGGTGCCGGTATTCATGGCTGAAAGACCTGAAGGTGAATTACATCACAGGACTCTTTCCAGACACTCCCCGGTACCAGCCTGGAGCTCCGTAGCTTCACTGAGTGGCTAGATGCAGAAGAGAAATAATAATCACTGCAGTTTGGCTCACAGGAAGCCCCATCCCTAGGGGAATGGGGAGAACACCACATCAAGAGAGCTGCCCGTGGGACAAAAAAAAAAAAAAAAAAAATCTCAACAGCAGCCTTTGATCCTGAGCTCTTCCCTCTGACATAGATGACCCAAATCAGAAGGAAGCAGAAAAACAATTCTGAAAATACAACAAAACAAAGTTCTTTAACACCCCCCAAATATCACACTAGCTCACTAGCAATGAAGCCAAACTAAGAAGAAATCTCTTAATTGTAAAAAGAATTCAGAAGATCAATTACTAAGCTCATCAAGGAGGCACCAGAGAAAGGTGAAGTCCAACTTAAAGAAATTTAAAAAGTGTTACAGGATATGAATGGGAAAATCTCCAGAGAAATAGCATAAATACAAAACAATCACAACTTCTGGAAATGACACACTTAGAGAAATGACAAATGCACTGAAAAGTCTCAGCAAAAGAATTGAACAAGTATTACATTGGTTCAGAAGTAATTGCAATTTTGCGCCAGCAAAATTGAGAAAAGAACTTTTGAGCTAGAAGACAAGGCTTTTGCATTAACCCAATCCAACAAAGAAAAAGAATCAAGAAAAAAAATGAACAAAGCCCCCAAGAAGTTGAGGATTGTGTTAAATGATCAAGCCTAAGGAAAATTGGTGTTTCTGAGAAAGAAGAGAAATCTAAAAGTTTGGAAAACGTATTTGAAGGAATAATTGAGAAAAACTTCACTGGCCTTGCTAGAGATCTAGACATCCAAAGACAAGAATCTGAAAGAACACCCAGGAAATTCATAGCAAAAAGATCATTGCCTAGGCACACAGTCATCAGATTATCTAAAGTCAAGACAAAGGAAAGATTCATAAGAGCTGTGAAGCAAAATCATCAGGTAACCTATAAAGTAAAACCTATTAGATTAACAGCAGATTTCTCAGCAGAAAACCTATAAGCTTGAAGATATTGGAATCCTATCTTTACCTTCCTTAAACATAACAATTATTAGTCAAGAATATTGTACCCAGTAAAACTAAGCTTCATAAATGAATGAAAGAGACAGTCTTTTTCAGACAAACAAATGATGAGAGAATTTGCCATTATGAAGACATTATTACAAGAATGGCTAAAAAGAACTCTAAATCTTGAAACAAATCCTCAAAATACACCAAAATAGAACTTCCTTAAAGCATAAACCTCACAGGACCTATAAAACAATAACACAATAAAAAACCAAAGGCACTCAGTCAAAAAATAGCACAATGCATAGAATAGTACCGCACATCTCAATTCTAACATTGAATGTAAGTGGCCTAAACGCTCAACTTATAACATGCAGAATGGCACAATGGATAATTCTCCAACCAAGCATCTGCTGTCTTCAAAAGACTCACCTAAAACATAACCTTAAGGGAAAGGGGCAGAAGAAGTTATCCCATGCAAATAGACACCAAACACTAGCAGGAGTAGTTATTCTTATATCAGATAATACAAGATTTAAAGCAACAACAGTAAAAAGAGCAAAGAGGGACATTATATAATGATTTAAAAAAAACTAGTCCAAGAGGAACATATCACACTTCTAAATATATATGCACCTAACACTGGTGTTCCTAAAGTTATAAAACATTTACCGTTTGGCCTGAGAAATGAGACAGATAGTTACAAAATAATGGTGGGGGAATTCAATACTCCACTGACAGCACGAGGCAGGTCATCAAGACAAAAAGTCAGCAAAGAAACAATGGACTTAAACTATACCACCTTCTATTCATCAGCACATAAAACATTCTTCAAAATAGACCATATGATAGGCTACAAACAAGTCTCAATAAATGGAAGAAAATCAAAATTATATCAAGTACTCTCTCAGACCACAGTGGAATAATACTGGATATCAATTTCAAAAGTAATCCTTAAAATTATGAATATGCATGGAAATTACATAACCTGCTCCTGAATTATCATTGGGTCAACAAAAAAAAAAGATGAAAATTAAAAAAAAAATTAAACTGGACAAGTATAGTGACACACCCTGTCAAAACCTCTAGGATACAGCAAAAGTGGTGCTATGGGGAAATTTCACAGCATTAACTGTCTACATCAAAAGGTCTGAAATAGCACAAAAAAACAATCTAAGGTTACACTTCAAGGTATTAGAGAAATAAGAACATATCAAACCCAAACCCAGAAGAAGAAAAGAAATAACAAAGATCAGAGCAGAATTAAATGAAATTGAAACCAAAAAATAATACAAAAGATAAATGAAACAAAAGCTGATTATTTGAAAAGAGAGAAAAAATTGATATAATGTTAGTGAGAGTAACGAAGAAAAAAAGAGAGAAGATCCAAATAAGCTCAATTAGAAATGAAACAGGAGATATTATAACTGATACCACAGAAATAAAAGAGAACATTCAAGGTTACTATGAACACCTTTATTCACACAAACTAGAAAAAAATAGAGGAGATGGATAAGTTCCTGGAAATATACATCTCTCCTAAATTAAAGCAGAAAGAGACAGAAACTCTGAACAGACCAATAACAAGCAATGAGATTGAAATGGTAATTAAAAAGTTACCACCACCAACAACAAAAGTCCACATGGATTCACAAAAGGACCACATGGATTCACAGATGAATTCTATCAGATATTCAAAGAAGAATTGGTACTAATCCTATTGATGCTATTCCAAAAGATAAAGAGAGAATTCTCCCTAAATCAGTCTATGAAGGCAATATTACCCTATACCAAAGATAGAAAATGACATAACAAAAAAAGAAAACTACAGACCAATTTTCCTGATGAACGTAGATGTAAAAATCCTCAAAAAAAATACTAGCTAACAGAATCCAAAAGCATATAAAAAATAATAATCCACCATGATCAAGTGGGTTTTATACCCAACATGCAGGAATGGTTTAACATATACAAGTCAATAAGTATGATACACCACATAAAGAGAATTAAGAACAAAAATCACATGATCATCTCGTTAGCAGCAGAAAAAGCATTCAACAAAATCCAACATCTCTCTATGATTAAAAGCCTCAGCAAAGTTGGCATAGAAGGAACATACTTTAAGGTAATAATAGCCATCTATGACAAACCCACTGCCAACATTATATTGAACAGGGAAAAGTTGACAGCATTCCACCTGAGAACTGGAACTAGACAAGTATGCCCACTTTTACCACTTTTATTCAGCATAGTACTGGAAGTCCTAGCTACAGCAATCAGACAAGAAAAAGGAATAAAGGGCATCCAAATTGGTAAAGAGAAAGTCAATCTGTTGCTGTTTGCCAATTATATGATCGTATACCTAGAATACCCCAAAGACTCATCTAAAAAGCTCCCAGAACAGAAAAATGAATTCAGCAAACTTTAAGGATACAAAATTAATGTACACAAATCAGTAGCACTGCTATACATCAACAGCAATTAAGCTGAGAACCAAATTAAGACTCAACCACTTCTACAATAGCTCCCAAAAAAAGAAAAAAAACCCTTAGGAATATACCTAAGCAAGGAAGTGAAAGACCTCTACAAAGAAAACTACAAAACACTGCTGAAAGAAATCATAGATGACACAAATAAATGGAAATATATCTCATGTTCATGGATGGGTAGAATCAATATTGTAAAAATGACCATACTACCAAAGACAATCTACAATTTCAGTGCACCTCCTATCAAAATATTACCATCATTCTTCACATAAGTGGAAAAAACATTTCTAAAATTCATATGGAACCAAAAAAGAGCCTGCATAGCCAAAGCAAGACTAAGAAAAAAGAACAAATCTGGAGGCCTCACATTACCTGACTTCAAACTACACAGTAAGGCCTTGACAGTATAATACTGGTATAAAAAATAGGCACATAGATCTATGGAACATAATAGAGAACCCAGAAATAAAGCCAAATACTTACCAACAATTCATCTTTGAAACACACACAAAAAAACATAAAGCAGGGAAAGGATAACCTATTTAACAAATGGTGCTGGAATACTTGGCAAAACACATATATAAGAATGAAATTGGATCCTCATCTCTCACCTTATACAAAACTCAAGTCATGATGGATCAAAGACTTGTATCTAAGGCCTGAAACCATAAAAATTATAGAAGATAACATCAAAAAATCCTTCTTTACATTGGTTTAGGCAAAGACTTTATAACCAAGAACCCAAAAGCAAATGCAACAATAACAATGATAAATAGATGAGAATTAATTAAACTAAAATTCTTCTGCACAGCAAAAAAAATCATCATCAGCTGCAGAGTAAACAGACGATCCACAGAGTGGGAGAAAATCTTTGCAATCTATACATCCAACAAAGGACTAATATCCAGAATCTTCAAGGAACTCAAACAAATCAGCAAGAAACAAAAATCCTATCAAAAAGAGGGAAAAGAATATGAATAGGCAATTCTCTAAAGGGGATCTACAAATAGTCAACAAACATATGTAAAAATGCTCAGCATCACTAATGATCAGGGAAATATAAATCAAAACCACAATGCAATACCATCTTACTCCTGCAAGAATGGCCATAATCAAAAAATAAAAAAAAATAACAGATGTTGATGTTAATGTGGTGAAAGGGGAACACTTTTAAATTGTTGGTAGGAATGCAAACTAATACAACCATTATGGAAAATAGTGTGGAGATGCCTTAAATAAGTAAAAGTAGAACTACCATTTGATTCAGCAATTCCACTCCTGGGTATCTACCCAGAGGAAAAGAAGTCATATGAAAAAGATGCTTGCACACGCATGTTTATAACAGCACAATTCACAATTGCAAAAAATGGAACCTGCTCAAATGCCCATCAATTAATGAGTGGATAAGGAAAATGTGGTCTATATATATAAAATGAAGTACTACTCAGCCATAAAAAGACATTAAATAATGGCATTCACAGCAACGTGGATGTATTTGGAGACCATTATTCTAAGTGAAGTGACTCAGGAATGGAAAACCAAACATATTATGTTCTCACTCATAAGTGGGAGCTAAGTTATGAGGACACAAAGGCCGAAGAATAATAAATGGATTTTGGAGACATGGGGGAAAAGTGGGAGGGGGTAATTAATAAAAGACTACATACTGGGTACAGTGTACACTGCTCAGGTTATGGGTGCACCAAAATCTCAGAAATCACCACTACAGAAATCATCTGTGTAACCAAATCTCACCTCTTCCCCCAAGACCTATTGAAATCAAATAATAATAATAATATAAAATAAAAAATACAAGAAGAAAAGAAGTCAATTAAGAACTGTAAAGTACTAATTTTCCTGTGGGTAGATACTCAGTAGTGGGATTGCTGGATCAAATGGTAGTTCTACCTTCAGTTCTTTAAGAAATTTCTACAATATTTTCCATAGTGGCTGTGCTAGTTTACATTCCCACCAAAGGTGTAAAAGGGTTCCCTGTTCACTGCATCTGTGCCAACATCTAGTGTTTATTTATTTTTTTGATTATGGTCATTTTTGTAGGAGTAAGGTGGTATTGCATTGTGGTTTTGATTTGCATTTCCCTGATCATTAGTAATGTTTGAGCATTTTTTCATATGTTTTTTGGCCATTTGCATATCTTATTTTGAGAATTGTCTATTCATGTCCTTTTCCCACTTTTTGATGGGATTGTTTGTAAGTAATTTTTCTTACTGATTTGTTTGAATTTGTTATAGATTCTGTAGTCCTTTATCAGATGTATAGATTGTGAAGATTTTCTCCCACTTAGTGGGTTGTCTGTTTACTCTGCTCAGGGTTCCTTTTGTGGTGCAAAAGCTCTTTAGTTTAATCAGGTGCCACCTATTTATCTTTGTTTTTATTGCCTTTGCTTCGGGGTTCTTGGTCATGAAATCCTTACCTAAGCCAATGTCTAGAAGGGATTTTCCAATGTTATTTTCAAGAAATTTTATAGTTTCAGGTCTTAGGTTTAAGTCCTTAATCCATCTTGAGTTGTTTTTTGCATAAGGTGAGAGGTGAGGATCTAGTTTCATTCTCCTACATGTGGCTAGTCAATTATTCTAGCACCATTTGTGGAAAAGGGTGTCCTTTCTCTACTGTATGTTTTAGATTGCTTTGACGAAGATCAGTTGGCTGTAAGTATTTGGGTTTATTTCCGGATTCTCCCTTCTGTTTCATTCATCTATGTGTCTATTTTTTTATACCAGTACCATGCTGTTTTGATGATTGTGGCATTATAGTATATTTTGAAATCAGGTAGTGTGATGGCTCCAGACTTGTTCTTTTTGCTTAGTCTTGCTTTGGCTATGCAGGCTCTTTTTTGGCTCCATATGAATTTTAGAATTTTTTTTTCTAATTCTGTGAAGAATGAAGGTGGTATTCTGATGGGGATTGCATTTAATTTGTAGATTACTTTTGGCAGTATTGTCATTTTCACAATATTGATTCTACCCGTCCATGAGCATGGAATATGTTTCCATTTGTGTCATCTATGATTCCTTTCAGTAGTGCTTTGTAGTTTTCCTTGTAGAAGTCTTTTGATTCCTTGGTGAGGTATATTCCTAAGTATTTTGTGTTTTTTTTGCAGCTATTGTAAAAGGGATTGAGTTCTTGATTTGATTACCCACTTGGTCACTGTTGGTGTTATAATTTTATTTTCTAAATAAATGTTCAATATGAATGTAGGTAGGACTGTTTTTATAAAAATATCACAAATATTATAAAAATAAAGAAAAATAAAATATTATTTAAATAGTTAATGTTTTATAATAATTTCTCTATTCTTAGTTACACTGAACTCAGCCCCCATCTGTTTGCAATTTTCTTTCCTCTGCCTTACTCTTAGTATGTTAATGTTCATAATTAATTCAAATCCTAATGATGGTCATATACATTCCTCTAGTTTTAATTCTTAAGTCCTTTTTTGTATATTGTCATTTAAGATATCCTGTTGGTGTTTCAAGTGTAATATAATGAGCTCAGCATATTCCAGCTCATTCCACTGACCAATCCACTGTGGGAAGTCAGGGACCCTGAACGGAGGGACCAGCTGGAGCTGTGGCAGAGGAACATAAATTGTGAAGATTTCATGGACATTTATCAGTTCCCAAATAATATTTTTATAATTTCTTATGCCTGTCTTTACTTTAATCTCTTAATCCTGTTATCTTCGTAAGCTGAGGATGTGCATCACCTCGGGACCACTGTGATAATTGTGTTAACTGTACAAATTGATTGTAAAACGTGTGTTTGAGCAATATGAAATCAGTGCACCTTGAAAAAGAACAGAATAACAGCGATTTTTTAGGGAACAAGAGAAGACAACCATAAGGTCTGACTGCCTGTGGGGTTGGGCAAAAAGAGCCATATTTTTCTTCTTGCAGAGAGCCTATAAATGGATGTGCAATTAGGGAAGATATCGCTAAATTCTTTTCCTAGCAAGGCATATTAATATTAATACCTTGGGAAAGGAATGGATTCCTTGGGGGAGGTCTATAAATGGCCGCTCTGGGAATGTCTGTCTTATGTGGGTGAGATAAGACTGAGATACACCCTGGTCTCCTGAAGTATCCTTAGGCTTACTAGGGTGGGGAAAATCTCCACCCTGGTAAATTTGTGGTAGGACCGGTTCTCTGCTCT
Source organism: Homo sapiens (assembly GCF_000001405.40). Classification (NCBI taxonomy): domain Eukaryota; kingdom Metazoa; phylum Chordata; class Mammalia; order Primates; family Hominidae; genus Homo; species Homo sapiens. The sequence continues at coordinate 24,031,502 of NC_000005.10, forward strand.
CCAACCCTGTTTTCTGTTGTTTAAGATGTTTATCAAGACAGTATGTGCACCGCTGAACATAGACCCTTATCAGTGGTTCTGCTTTTGCCCTTTGCCTTGTGATCTTCATTGGACCCTTATCAGTAGTTCTGTTTTTGCCCTTTGTCCTGTTCCCTCAGAAGCATGTGATCTTTGTTAGACCCTTATTAGTAGTTCTGCTTTTTGCCCTTTGAATGTGATCCTTGTACCTACTCCCTGTTCTTACACCCCCTCCCCTTTTGAAACCCTTAATAAAAACTTGCTGGTCTGAGACTCAGGTGGGCATCGCAGTCCTACAAATATGTGATGTCACCCCCAGTGGCCCAGCTGTAAAATTCCTCTCTTTATACTGTCTCTCTTTATTTCTCAGCTGGCTGAAACTTATGAAAATAGAAAGAACCTACATTGAAATATTGGGGGCGGGTTCCTCCAATACCAATCAATGCAATGTTATCTTATTTACCCCCTTTTTTAGTATCAGAGTTTAAAAATCAGATTTTTCAAGCTCAATATTATAATTTATATTTTATCCTCTTTCCCTTTATACAAGCAATCTCTAAGTTGTACTGTGATAATTGATTTCATCTTAAGTTCATTGTTGCTTTAAGCCTAGAATAGGCTGCCCTACTTCATCCTTCAATTCCTTTACAAGCCTCTTAAGCAGTCCCCTAAATTTTTATTTCTTTATCAAATTCACACTATGTCCTGAATGGTATTGGCTAGGTTTTATTCTAGGGTTTTTATGATTTCACATCTTATATTTAAGTCTTTAATCCATCTTGAATTATTTTATCCTATTTCTATATTTACCAAAAAATATAACCCTTTCTACACACACACACACACACACACACACACACACACACACACACACACAGTGCTTACAGGAAAATGTTTAAACAATACTGGCATTTACAGTTCTCCATGTTTTGAGAGCATTATAAATAATAATGTTTCAGTTTTTTCTGAGATTTCTGTCATAATATTGCCTCTGATAAAACTCAAATCTTTAGTTAATGTGTTGGTTATGTATTTCTTCATGAAAATGTTATCACAAACCTAGTGGCTTAAAGCAAACCACATTTATTGAACTCAAGTACTCTGTGAGTCGGAAATCAGGGTACAGCCTAGCTAGGGCCTCTGTTCCAAGGTCTCACAGGTTGACTCCAAAGGTGTATCAGTGTTGCAATCTCAGGAGAGGCTCAAGCTTCCAAGCTCACATGGTTGTTGGCAAAATTCAGTAACTTCCAGGGTGCTGGACTGAGGACCTTAGTTTCTTGCTAGTTGTTGGCAGGAAGCAGCTCTCAGCTCTTTGCCCTGTGGCTCTTTCTGTAAAATAACTTACAGTATGGCAGCTTGATTCTTTAAAGCCAGCACAGGAGAGAAAGTCTTCTAGTTACGTGAGTGATAATCAGATACAAAATAATCATGCACAATAAATCACCATGTGCATCCTATCACATTCATTGTGTGCCTATTGATTAGAAGCCAGTTTAGGTCTCATCCGCACCCAAGGGGAGGGGATCTCAAAAGGGCATGAACATTAGTGAATGAATCTCTTGGAAGTCACTCCAGAGTCTACCTGCCACAGCCACCTTTACGTAAGTTATGTCCTTCCAATAATAATTCACTCATAATGTTTACAAATCCCGATACATTTTTTCACTTTTCCATCTACCTTTTTCTTTAGGGAGGATCCTCTGAGCAGTGTAATTTCAGAACTACTAAAGAAGTTATTGTTTCAGGTAGTTATTTGACAATGTGACATTTAAATAACGGCAAGACTATAATATGATGTTTTAATCTGTCTACCATTTGTCTAGCCCTATTACGAGAAGAAAAGTGTTGAATTGATTATAGCAGGAAAATGTCTCCATGCCATCTACCAATCTAAGATACAGTTTATAATCTTTCCTCAATGCCTAATAAAGGCAAGTTCAAGTGTTTATAATATAAGCAACTGAAACCATATCTTATCAATAAACTTCATGAGGGCACACTATTTTACATGTAGCAATAATTCAAAAATATTTATAAATGATTAAATCAAGTCTGAGTAACAGGTGATTGGACACAGATGTAAAATTACTTTTAATTAAGCAATTTAATATAATTTTGTAATATGATCTGCAAAAAAACTATGTAGGAAAATGAATATTTAAAGCATAGCTTAATGGATACTAACCTAACATGATAAAAATTGCTTTTGACATTAAAAAAGGCATTACTCAGTAAATATTTCTTGCTGATTAAATGAGTTCTTTACATTAAATTCAGCATTAAATAGCAGTCTTTCCCCTTTTTTCTCTAATAGTAATTTGCTCCAGAGTTTATTAGTTTTTTTTAAATTGCTGTTGTAACTTAATCTGAGAGACTCATGTATCAGAATATAAAGTAATGACACATAATATAAGCTTGGTAATAAAAAAGCAACTTTCAACCGAGAAAAAAGTCACATTTAATAGCATTCAATATAAAAGACGAGTATGGCTTCGAGATAAATTACTAACACTTCTATACTGAGCAGTGATACACATTTATCAGTGGTTGCCAAAAGATACTTACGTTAATGTACTGCCTTGAATTTCTTATTATCTGAAACTCATTTTTAATCATTCAGCATGTATTTACTAACAATTATTTGTCTGCTTTAGTACATGAATCAAATATCTGACACTTAAAATTGTTAATAGATTGAATGTACTGTGATTGCTAGATGTGTGAAAAGTAGACTCTATGATTAAAACAATTTTTTACATGGTTAGATACCAAAATGAAATTCTTACAATAGTAATACTTCATTTGAATTGGTTTATAAATGTCATGTTAGCTACAATGCAATGAATTGTATAATGGATTTAGAAATCTTTTTTTTTTTGTCCAAGTCATGTAAAGTACTTCAGAGGTGAAATTTCAAAGTCATGTAAACTTTTCGTCAGACTAATATTAGTGGAAGACACACGTAAGTTGTCAATACCTACTAGCTTTTAAATATAAAATATTAATAAATTATACCAGAAAAGTATATGATTTTTATGTAAATAGGACAAGTTTTCAGTTACTTAAGTATTTCCTGGGTTTTCATTTAAGTGTTTATGTAAGAAATATAAATTTGAGGACTTGAAACTATTAAATTGATTGTTCAATAACATAATTAGTATTGACCTATTAAGTGGTGTGATTTAATAATTAGACTAAGTATGTTAGTAATTATATTGGACAAGCTTATATACTACATTCTTGGGATGTATGATGGAATGATTAATATGATATTTGTTTCTTCTTTCAGAATTTTAAATAAGAACTGGATTTGAAGTAATTAATGCAGGTAGATATATTGCAAAGCTCTAAAGACTACATTCATATTACTGATCACAGTAAAAAGCTATAAGAATTAATAAGACAAAATGTAATTTCCAGTTAAGGAAGTCAGGAAAATCTTTTTGGGGAAAAAAAGTATTTGAAAAGAAATATAAACTCCAAGCAAAAGTATGTGTGTGAGCAATATTTTAGAGAAAAGAAAAATCACGTTGTATCCACACCCTTGACCATATATATGACTTTGAAATTTCTACTAAAAGTGTTCATTATATACTTCATTTTGGGTCCTGACACTTGATTTGTTTTCACTTTACTTCCAATACTTACTTATGCAATGTCATTACAAAACCATGCTTAGACAATGCTTTTGATCTCAGAAAGAAAATCAGAAGCACAAAAAGCAAAGCCGTCTCAGATGAGCCGCTTCAGCTTTTTCTGAGAACAACTATCTCCAAACTCACCCACATACATACACATGAACCTATCTGTGATTCTAGAGTTGCCCAACTGACCCCAGCCTTCAACAGTTGACTTCGTGATGACCTATAAATTAAAAATAAAATAATTTTTCCTTCTGGCCACTGAGTTTAGGGGCCACATGGTACATAACAATTGATCATAGATTTAAAATGAATACTGGCTGCATAGTATTCCATGGTGTATATTGCCACATTTTCTTTATCCAGTCTAACATTGATGGACATTTGGGTTGGCTTCAAGTCTTTGTTATTGCGAATAGTGCTGCAGTAAACATATGTGTGCATGGGTCTTTATAGTAGAATGATTTATAATCCTTTGGGTATATACCCAGTAATGGGACTGCTGGGTCAAATGCTATTTCTATTTCTAGATCTTTGATGAATTGCCACACTGTCTTCCACAATGGTTGAACTAATTTGCTCTCCCACCAACAGAGTAAAAGCGTTCCTATTTCTCCACATCCTCCCAGCATCTGTTGTTTCCAGAGTTTTTAATAATTGCCATTCTAACTGGCGTGAGATGGTATCTCATTGTGGTTTTGATTTGTATTTCTCCAATGATCAATGATGATGAGATTTTTTTCATATGTTTCTTGGCCACATAAATGTCTTCTTTTGAGAAGTGTCTGTTCATATCCTTCTCCCACTTTTTGATGGAGCTGGAAACCATCATTCTCAGCAAACTAATACAGGAACAGAAAACCAAACACCGCATGTTCTTACTCATAAGTGGGAGTTAAACAATGAGAACATATGGGCACAGAGAGGGGAACATAACACACTGGGACCTGTTGGGGGGTTTGGGGACAAGCGGAAGGATAGCATTAGGAGAACTACCTAATGTATATGTCGGGTTGATGGGTGCAGCAAAGCACCATGGCACATGTATACCTTGCAACAAACCTGCACATTCTGTACATGTATCCCAGAACTTAAGTATAATAATAAAAAAAAATACTAAAAGTTAGAGTATAGTTATAACAAAAACCCACTGTGTGACATTGTCATTAGAACCATGTAATGAATGAATGCTGGAAAAGCAGTTAAGAAAGTATTCACTATTTAGTTGTGAAACATATGTTAAAATTAAATCTATATATTATTTGGTATAAATCAAACCAAAATATTGAAAATGCATCTGACATAAATGTCAACAGGAGGAAATGTTTTTAGGTAACATATTTGCAATTTTTTTTGCTATCAATGGTTAATGTACATCAAGACAAATCTTATTTTAAGAACAGAACTAGCCAGTTTGACAGCAAAATGAAGGAGTATGAAAATAAAGCTACTTTTCATATCCAGACTCTTCAGCAAGTAAAGGGCCTTCAAAATCAATTACAGCATGTGGCCATTGACTAAATTCAAGGTGTTATCAGTGTTATATGGATTCCATATAAGGACATATAAGTCATATACAGGCAGCCTCTTTACCAAGAAAAAAGAGGACTTTAAGTAAGTACAGAGAATCATCCTACAGCAGTAATTTTTTTTGTTTGTTTGTTTGTTTTTGTATTTTTGGTTTTAAGTCTAGAAGGAAGCATATGTGTGATAGAATATTAGGTATAACTTTTAGCTAATGGATTAATTAAAATTAAAAACATAAAAGACACAGCATTTTGACAAAAACTTACTGGCAAAGTACGCCATATATGATCTAAGAGGTGACTGAATGTAATGAGATATAAAATTTACTCTGAGGTCTGAGCATTCTAGTGCCAAAAATCATGCTGATAATATTTACCTGCCATCAAACAGGAAATATTTTTCGATGATCTTTTTATAAGTGACCAAAGATAATAATAAAAAAAGAAACACATCCCAGAAAGCAGAGGCAAAACCAAGAGAGAACAATGAACAGAGAGAGAATCTCAATGAGCAGAGTTAGGGCCTAATTAAGAAACATCCCTATTTTTTTTATTATACTTTAAGTTCTAGGGTACATGTGCACAATGTGCAGGTTTGTTAATAGATATACATGTGCTATGTTGGTTTGCTGCACCCATCAACTCATCATTTACATTAGGTATTTCTCCTAATGCTATCCCTCCCCCAGCCCCCCACCCCCCGACAGGCCCCAGTGTGTGATGTTCCCCACCCTGTGTCCAAGTGTTCTCAGTTTCAATTCCCACCTATGAGTGAGAACATGCGGTGTTTGGTTTTCTGTCCTTGTGATAGTTTTCTGAGAATGATGGTTTCCAGCTTCATCCATGTCCCCGCAAATGACATGAACTCATCCTTTTGTATGGCCGCATAGTATTCCATGGTGTCTTAATCCAGTCTATCATTGATGGACATTTGGGTTGGTTCCAAGTCTTTGCTATTGTGAATAGTGCCGCAATAAACATACGTGTGCATGTGTCTTTACAGTAGCATGACTTATAATACTTTGGGTAATACCCAGTAATGGAATCACTGAGTCAAATGGTATTTCTAGTTCTAGATCCTTGAGGAATCACCACACTGTCTTCCACAATGGTTGAACTAATTTACACTCCCACCAACACTGTAAAAGCATTCCTATTTCTCCACATCCTCCCAGCATCTGTTGTTTCCTGACTTTTTAATGATTGCCATTTTAACTGGCATGAGATGGTATCTCATTGTGGTTTTGATTTACATTTCTCTGATGACCAGTGATAATGAGCATCGTTTCATGTGTCTGTTGGCTGCATAAATGTCCTCTTTTGAGAAGTGTCTCTTCATATCCTTTGCCCACTTTTTGATGGGGTTGTTTTATTCTTGTAAATTTGTTTAAATTCTTTGTAGATTCTGGATATTAGCCCTTTGTCAGATGGGTAGATTGCAAAAATTGTCTCCCATTCTGTAGTTTGCCTGTTTACTCTGATGGTAGTTTCTTTTGCTGTGCAGAAGCTCTTTAATTAGATCCCATTTGTCAATTTTGGCTTTTGTTGCCATTGCTTTTGGTGTTTTAGACATGAAGTCCTTGCCCATGCCTATGTCCTGAATGGTATTGCCTAGGTTTTCTTCTAGGGTTTTTATGGTTTTATGCCTTACATTTAAGTCTTTAATCCATCTTGAATTAATTTTTGTATAAGGTGTAAGGAAGGGATCCAGTTTCAGCTTTCTCCATATGGCTAGCCAGTTTTCCCAGCACCATTTATTAAATAGGGAATCCTTTCCCCATTTATTGTTTTTGTCAGGTTTGTCAAAGATCAGATGGTTGTAGATGTGTAGTGTTACTTCTGAGGCCTCTGTTCTGTTCCATTGGTGTATATATCTGTTTTGGTAACAATAACATGCTCTTTTAGTTACTGTAGCCTTGTAGTATAGTTTGAAGTTAGGTAGTGTGATGCCTCTAGCTTTGTTCTTTTTGCTTATGATTTTCTTGGCTATGTGGGCTCTTTTATGGTTCCATATGAAATTTAAAGTAGTATTTTCTAATTCTGTGAAGAAAGTCAATGGTAGCTTGATTGGGATAGCATTGAATCTATAAATTACTTTGGGCAGTAGGGCCATTTTCATGATATTGATTCTTCCTATCCATGAGCATGGAATGTTTTTCCATTTGTTTGTGTCCTCTCTTACTTCCATGAGCCATGGTTTGTAGTTTTCCTTAAAGAGGTCCCTCACATCCCTTGTAAGTTGTATTCCTAGGTATTTTATTCTCTTTGTAGCAATTATGAATGAGAGGTAACTCATGATTTGGCTGTCTGTTTGTCTATTATTGGTGTATAGGAATGCTTATGATTTTTGCACATTGATTTTTTATCCTGAGGGTTTGCTGAACTTGCTTATCAGCTTAAGGAAATTTTGGGCTGAGATGATGGGGTTTTCTAAATATACAATTATGTCATTTGCAAACAGAGACAATTTGACTTATTTTCCTACTTGAATACCCTTTACTGGTGAGAGGGCATCCTTGTCTTGTGCCAATTTTCAAAGGGAATGCTTCCAGTTTTTGCCTATTCAGTATGATATTGGCTGTGGGTTTCTGATAAATAGCTCTTATTATTTTGAGATACGTTCCATCAATACCTAGTTTACTGAGAGTTTTTAGCATGAAGGGCTGCTGAATTTTGTCAAAGGCTTTTTCTGCATCTATTGAGATAATCATGTGGTTTTTGTCATTGGTTCTGTTTATGTGATGGATTACATTTATTGATTTGTGTATGTTGAACTGGCCTTGCATCCCAGGGATGAAGCCGACTTGATCGTGATGGATAAGCTTTATGATGTGCTGCTGGATTCAGTTTACTAGTATTTTATTGAGAATTTTCTCATCGATGTTCACCAGGTTTATTGGTCTAAAATTCTCTTTTTTTTGTTGTGTCTCTGCCAGACTTTGGTATCAGGATGATACTGGCCTCGTAAAATGAGTTAGGGAGGATTCCCTCTTTTTCTATTATTGGAATAGTTTCAGAAGGAATGGTACCATCTCCTCTTTGTACCTCTGGTAGAATTCAGTTGTGAATTCATCTGGTCATCTATGTTCCATCCATTCATGCCACTCTTCCTCCTAACTCATGGCAACTACTGATCTTTATACTATTGCCATAGTTTTGCCTTTTCCATGATGTAACATAGTTGGCATCATACCACAGCTAGCCATTTCATATTGGCTTACTTCACTAAGTAATATGCATTAAAAAACAAAGTCATATATATCCATGACTTGATGGCTTATTTCTTTTTAGCTCTGAATAACATTTCATTGTCTAATTCACTGCAATTTATCCTTTCACCTGCTAAATAACAGGCCTGTTGATTGCTTTCACGTTTTGGAAATTATGAATAAAACTCCTGTAAACATCTGTGTGGATAGAAGTTAGTTTTTGTTTTAATGTTTTTGGGTAGATATCAAAAAGAATCATTACTGGATCATATGATGAGTATACTTAGTTTTATAAATAAATAAGAAAGTTCTCAACTGTCTTCTAACGTGGCAGTACCATTCTGCCTTGCCAGCAGGAATTAATGAGCATTCCTGTTGTTCCATATGCTCACCAGCATTTGATATTGTCAGTCTTCTAGATTTTGGCCATTCTAATAAGTATGTAGTGGTCTTTGATGTCTTTTTATCTTCCCTTATTGTCCATGTATTTTTTAAGAATCCTTTTCTATATACTTGGAACATTTTCTTATAATGCATACCTTCTGGCAATTATCGGTTGTACAGCAGATCTCTAGAACTTATTCATCTTGCCTAACTGAAACTGTATTATCTATTGAACAGCATCTCCTCATTTTCTTCTGCCCCTAATCACTGGAAACCAAAACTTTTCTCTTTGTTTCTATGAGTTTGACTGTTTAGACATCTCAAATAAGTGGAGTCATGCAGTATTTGTCCATCATTAACTGGATTATTTCACTTACCATCATGTCTTTATGTTTCATCTATGATGTCACATATGACACGATTTCCTTCTTTTTTTAAAGCTGAATGACATTCTATTGTATGTGTATACTACTTTTTAACTTATTTATCCATCAATGAACATTTAGGTTGTTTCAATATCTTGGTTATTGTAAATAATGCCACAATAAGCATGCTTATATCTCTCTGAGATCTTAATTTCAATTATTTTGGGTATATAACCAGAAATGGGATTTACTGGATCATATGGTTGTTCTATGTTTAATTTTTTGAGGAGGATTCATACTGTTTTCCATAATGGCTGCAGCATTTTACATTCCCACCAAGAGATATTTTTCTATAAATAGAATTAGGATTTGTATAGGGATAGCATTGAGTACGTACACCAATTTGAGTATTATTGGGCATTTTAATAATATAAACTCAAATTTATGAATGTGAGATGTGTTTCCATTTATTTGTATCTTCTTTAACATATTCCATCAATTTTTGTAACAACATTATTAATAATCAGTGAAATGCAAATCAAAACCATCGTGTGATTAATTAAGCCATCACCTCACAGAGTTAGGAAGGCTATTAGAATATGAAGAAATAGGAAACAGGATGGTATGGCATAAATTCTGACATATAGGTCAGTGGAACAGAATAGAGCAGACAAAAATAAACCCACACATATATGGTCAACTGATCTTTGATTAGGGTGCCAAGAAGAAACAATGAGGAAGCAGTTTCTTCATCAAATGGTGCTAGAAAACTGTATATCCACATGCAAAGAATGAAATTAGTCCTTTATCATACATCATACACAAAAAACAATTTAAAATAAATTAAAGAACTAATCTTAATACCTGAAACTCTAGAACTCGTAGAAGAAAATATAGAAGAAGGTTTTGCTGCCGATGTTAGCAATGATGTCTTGGATATAAACCAAAGGCACAGGGAAGAAAAGCAAAAATAGACAATTGGAATTGGAATTACATCAAATTGAAAATTTTCCACACAGCAAAAGAATCAATAAAATGAAAAGGCAACCTAAAGAATGGTGAAAAATATATTTGCAAATGATATGTCTGCTAAGAGGCTAATATCCAACTTATATAAGGAATTTCAAAAACTTAATAACAATGAACAAATAACCTGATTAAAAATGTGTAAAGCATGTGAGTAAACATTTCTCCAAAGAAGACATACAAATGATAAACATCTAGATGACAAGAATTTTTATATATTTTTAAGATTAAAGTTATATTTATTTGTCTCACACTCTTCTAGTAGTTTTGTACTTTATAAATGGCCCGTTTTGTGGGTTTTCTCTGGAATATCAGCCTTCAGGTGAAGATTAGAATTGCCAAATATTCTTAAGGAACAAGCAGCTGTATATCATCACTTCACCACTCTCTTGAGCTTTGAACTGAATGCTGTTGTAATAACTAGGCCCTCTCTGTCGGAAAGTTTTTGTTCAGAACTGCAACCACAAAAATAGAACACCAAAGTCTAAATAGGTAGGTTTAAAAAAAATCTGAAATTATTGTCAAAGGAGAAATGTAGGCTTATTTTCTGCTACAAAGAGTTAGTTTTATGGAATGTTTAATAACACAGAATTTGGAACAACATAAGCTCAGTGTGAAACTTGGTTTATCCACGTACTGGCTGAGTGTCTTTAGATAAGATTCTTAAACTCCTGTGCTTCACATTTCTTAAGTTCAAAGTAGCTGAAATAATAATAATATCTAACCTATAGATTTATTTGGTGATTAATTAAGTATACATATGGTAAAACACTTAGAAGAATGTTTGGCCTATGATAATCAGGCCTATAGACACTATTGTGAAGATATATGTGAAACTACTTTCAAGTATAAGATCTATAAAAGTGTTAAGCCAGTCTCTTATTGGATATTCTGTTTTCCATGATTCAACATAGTTCTTGGCACAAGGTAGGTAATGCCAATGTTTTCCTTTTTTTTTTTTTTTTAAGAATGAAATAAATGAAGTAGATGACTGGGTAAAGAAATTGAGTGAATGTCATGCCCAGACTGAGGATATGTACATAAACGATTTCATGCACACAATATTTCTAGGTTCTCATGTAACTTTGATCAAATCTCAGTAGTTATCTATCTCATTAATCTATCATTTATGTTTGTATGTATTCCTACTTTTTAATTAAAAACTCTTATATCACTTCTCAGAATGTAATAAAAAGTAAAAGGATTCAAATCACGTGACATTTAGTTAAGTACTTAAAGGAAGTTGAAGGAAAGAAGAGAGGAAAAAGGAAGGAAAGTAATGAAAAAAATGAAAAAGCTTGAAAATAATGGAGTATTTTCATTGAGTGAAGGACCACTACAATGAAAATACTATTTTTTCAAGATAAATTTTTTAAAATATTATAAGAGCAGCATATACTAAATGCTTTCTTCACTGCTATGTAGGTCAAAACACTTACTTCTTATATAGGTACTTCTATGAAATAATACATAAATTTTCAGAATGATTTACTGATAAAGTCAAGTAAAGGACAAACTCTTATTTATGTTTACACAAATTAAATTCATTTTTTTTAACAAAAATGTAGGATTTTACAGGTTAGTTTAATGATTTTTAAAGAAAGTTACTTATTTATATAGCTATTTTACATTAAATGTATAATTTTCACCTTAAAGTAATACATTGTACCTAAGCACTATTGCTTAGGTTAAAGACGTAGGGTTGAAGACATTTTCATTTAATTTGTTATTGCTGCTTTAATAATATAACATTAATACCTGGCACATTACAGGAACAGAATAAATGCTTCTAAAGGTGAGGTTGCATTTTAATATGTACCAGTCAGAGTAACTGGATTTTTTCTGAATGATTGGGTACAATGAATGCCCTCCCAAGAAGCAATCAGTGACAGAGGCTTTTATTTAAACACTATCTACATGAGGAAAAAAGACCTAAACTAAAACAAACAGAATACCCTACAGAAAACTCCCATCATTTAATGATTCTCTGTTAAAATTAGAATCATATTGTTTTTCAAAAGTACATTAAATTGTGAATATCTAACAAACATATTTTTTGAAAGCTTGGTTGCAAAGAATTTTGTAAATGATATTTGCTATCTTTTCACTCAAATTTTATCAGCATTGCACTTCAGTTTTCCTTTACTTTCAATACCCTGGGTATCTATCAACAGAACATCATTAACATTACCTAGGTTTTCAGCAAGTGTGATGAAATTATTTTGCGTGGCTCACACTAATATCTGGTACAACCCAGAAAAAATGTAATTCAAGTTTATTTATTTAGTATTAGGAACTAGAGATCTAAAATTAGGCTTTGCTTTTACATCAATGACTAATAGCGCCGCCACCACCATCCCCACTGAATATGAGACATAGATGCTTCAGAATTTTATTTCTCATGTAAGTTTTCTCTGTCAATACCAGCTAAAAACTGTTGACTGTCACAATTTCCTGTCTAGACATTACAAGATGGTTCTTGACATGGTAATAATTATTTGTTTATTCAAATTCAGATGTAACTCATATCATATGTCAGAATGTGCCTTAGCCAAACAGAAATCAGGTTTTTCTTTTTTTAATTTAGTGAGGAGAAAAGTAGAAAGTTACGCTGTTTTGTATCTCCTCACTTACTACACCCTCATTTACTCCTAGTCTTCACTCCATCCTGGATCCTCGCTCATTGTACTGATTTTCTTTGAACTATAGAACATCTTGGAGATAATGGGATGAGGTTGGCTAACTGTCCATCTCCTTACTACTTCTAAATCTTTGTGGACATATAGAATTTTGAAAATTGAAATCTGGGGACAGTCTGTAAGGAAAATTTAATGTGGAATGATACTTTTGAAATCTTTCACTAAACTTGAAATCTTTCTCCAGAGTTCTCAATGAAAGGACCTATAATAGTCATGATAGGATCCGGTCCAGAAAACAGAAGGTCATCTTGCAGATACTCCTTATTTTATTTTATTTTACCTTATTTTATTTTATTAAGTAATTTTTCTTTCCTCTCTCCATAAAAAATACTTTTTAATTTTCCTCAAGTGAATCTCCACCTTTAATCACAGAATTATCTCACTGTCTGGGTCTATGTTCTGATCTATGAATGTCAAACTAACTGTGTCATTCTCTATAACAGACAAGAATTTAGCACTAGGATCAGTGTTGCTTACCAAACTCCAGGTATTCTGGCATGTCAGAAAGCATGTTAAAGCCTGGATACTGTCCAATTTCCTTTATAGTTTAAATATTTCCATGAGAGTATAAATGTTTCTTTAATGTTAAACTTTATCACTCACATCTTTCTAAGTACAGACATTCATTTTGAGAGCCAATGTAACATAAAGAAGTAAGCGAGATATCTCTATTATCCTTAGCAATGCAATAATCAAATTATTGTATAAGGTAGTATTTTGTTTGTTTACTATTTCAACTTGCAGTGTACTACCATAATAAACAGTATACATCATATTTTAATGGATATTTTCCACAGAATGCCTCCCCTGTAAGTAAGGGATCAAATGGCTTTTCCTTTATTTTCCCTTGGCAAAGAGAAGGAGGTAGTAAATTATTCCAGTAAGGCTGAGATCACCAACATCTGTTTACAAAGTAAAATGTCAAAGTGTGTAAGCTAAATAAATCATAACCCCAAAGTATTTAATCATGCCAAAGTGTAGATGATTATATTTAGTCATGATTTATTTTCATTTTATCTGTTCAGATCAATGGTAATCTCATTTAAAATTTTGTCTGAATGTTCAGCTAAAACCACATGATATTTCTGATAAATGTTCATTTTATCTACTTCAAGTTGAAAAGTACAATTTATTCCCACAATTAGATAGGTTAAAATATGCTTTGCTGTTTTGTATTTCTAACTACTTCTATTTTTTACAGAAAAAAATGGTGATTTATAAAAGATGACAAGTTGCAAAATAAGATTCACTAGGATTTATGAATTGCAAAATGCTCTCTTGATAATAATCAATGGTAGAATCACTGTTTAAATTTTCTCATTTATTTGAAAGTTCATACATTACAGAGCTGGAAATAGAAGCACTCTCTTCCAAACTTTCTGTACTAAAAAATGACTGTATCTGTATTACAAAAGAATTGAATTAAGGGCTTAAAGTTGTAAACTTTTATATTACAGATTATTTAATCCTTTGATGATGTGAAGAGATGTCTTTCAGCACTTATGACTAGAATCTTAGAAACTTGGTCAGTGTAAGAACAGTTGGTGATTTTATAACACATAGTTGACAGGGCATTTCTAGTTTAACCTAAATAGCTCAGATGGAAGCAAAATTGTTGTACTTAATAATAATCAAAATAACATAGTGCCAATCACTCATTTATTTTTCTTAATATATGATAATTTAATACAAGATGTGTTAGATATAATTGGTTAAATCTCTATACTAAGATTCTGGTGTCTAATACTGTATATCTTAATAATATTTATAAATTTGAGAAAGGTTGACAACAAAATTCAATTTATGCATTTATATATTATATCCAACCAAATTTTCATTTCTCATTGTCTCCTTTTTATATTTTCTTTTTATGAAACTACCTTCACCTTCCTCTTTTCCCCCCAGTCCTTTTGAACTCTGTTTTCTCTGCTTGCTTCTCCTATTGGTGTCCAAACTTCTCTTGGCTTCACCTCAGTACTAAGTCGTTGTTCAAGTTTGATTTCACCCTAAATAAAATAATTTAATTTTGCTTTTCATAGAGAGAACTTCCATTTGATATGTCTTTTTAAAATGATTGTCCTTTTAAAAATACTATCTTATTTCTATATGCTCATTGGGTAACGATTCTTTAGGAAAAGCGAATATTAATTTGTACTTTCTGGGTTTCAAGATATTAGGCTACTAAAATCACCAGTATTTTTCTCATTGCTTTTTTCACACACATCAATGACACTGCATTGGTTCTACTGGAGTCATTGGTTTGACCTGATAAAATTATATTCTGTGATTCATGAGAATGCCTTTCATCTAGTTTGTTAGAGGTGATTTTGTGTATATGTGTGTAAATGTGAATGTGTTTTACATGAAGAAATTTGGAGAGAATCCAAAACTTATCTTATTTACAACTAGTCTTTTGTTTCCCTCATCTCACTGAAGTTCATTTTGTAACTTTTGGCTACACTACTTCATAACTTTTTCTTGTCAAGTTTGATATTCATCCTCATATTGCTAAGCCTGGTAGTCAACTTTCAGTTTTATCTGGCATGACCTATTAGCATATTTGACACAGTTGGCCTCTTTGTCCTCAGTCACAAACTCTGGGCCCCACCAAACACATACGCACATGCACACACACCGAGACACCCACACTTGGATTCAATATTATTTTCTTATATCACTGGTTGTTTCCTGTTATTTTCATTTTCAGGATTCTTCTCTTTTTCTGATCTTTTAATTTTGGAATATTCTGGGACTCAGTCTTTGTGTTCTCACATAAATGCACCCACTACTTGTGAGATTTCATTTGTCTCATGGCTTTAAATACATCTATGTGTTGATGACTTCCAAACTGTACACTCAAAACTCCAGACCGAAACATTCAGCCACTTACACAGTGTGATTACTTATATATCTAATAAACTTCTCAAATGTAATGCATACAAAACTAAAATCATTGTCTTCTTTCTTAATCTACTCAACCCACAGTTTTTCACATCTGCATAAATGGCAACTCAATCCTTTGTTGCTCAAGAAAACCAATGTTCTTTGACTCCACCTTTTCCCCCACACTCCATATTCAATCTGGCAGGAAGCATTGTTCATTTCAACTTCAAAATATTTCCAGAATCTGACTACATTTTACCAACTCTACCACTGCCATCCTGATATCAACCTGATACCTCTTTTCTTAACTAATGGAATAAATTCCTAATTGACTTTTCTGATTTTTTACATATGCTCTTCACTGTGTTCTACTTTCAGCATAGCAAGGAGATTGATAATTTTAGAATTTGGATTACTTAGAGCTTACAACATATCAGCTCAAAGCAATTAATGTCTTTCTGTGCCAGAAAATATTCTTGCATCTTCCTGTGCTTTCTCAAGTACTGCAAAGGCTAAAATACCGGAACCTTAATTTCTTAGATTCTTTGAAAATCAAGCTTCAGGTTAAATGTTGCTAATGACAAGTACTCACATAAAATTTTGGAAGTAAAAGGGAATTAAATCCTACTTGTCTGATGTCTACTGTGGGCATGTATGTGTGCTATTCAATAAGAGAAATATGCGATTCTGTCAGCAGCTCCCATGCGTGTTTCTAGTAACCATCTAGTTTGATATTGAAAGCAACCAACGTCATTAATCATTGTTTCCCTATGAGTCCTACAATGTCCAATGCCTGAAAACTAAAAATAGCCTCTTTGATTGTTCATTACAATGGCTTTACATTATCAAAATTCCTCTATTAAATAGGTCTTCTCTGAAATACCTAGAGTGACTTTTTTCCACATGTTTTGTCTGATTATTAGGTGTTTGAAAAGTTTTCACAGAACAGAGCATCATAGATTGTAAATTGAAATTCTATATATGACTTGGTTTGATTTCAAATAGTAATAGTCTTATCACGAGTGGGAAATTTGTTTGGGTATGCAAATAGAATGCAATAGCAAAACATTTACTTAAATTATAATCTATCATTGACTAGAAGGAAGTTCTTATCGAAGCAAGGCTTTGAGAGATTAAGTTGCACATGCTATAGAACAAAATGTTGGAAATAATGATTATAATGACTATGAAATCATCATAGCTTCTAATTACAGTGGAGAACTTACAGAAAGTAAATGATCAGAAAATTACTTTAAATCTCATTTCAAGCTCAGATAGAAATACCAAAGACCTATGGCTGTCTTAAAATAACTCTTACTTCTTTTAGCTCTGGAGACAATATATGCAATTTCCAGTCTGTCTGTAGCTACAGCATAAATTATAAAATAAATAAAATTTGGCTTCTTCATGGCCATTTTTACTATACTTAAGTAATTGAGAAACTGGGAAACTATAATATGGGCACCAGATTAATTCTAATGTATCTGACTAAATTGAATCTCTTTATCCCACTGAGTTTCCCCTCCAAGAGAAAGTGACTTTCTATTTTTCATCTGTAGAGATGAACCTCTCCATACTATAGAACCCATAACTTTCAAAAGGGATATTTGTCTTGCACGCAGATGCAAACTTTCCTGAAAACCTACCTAGCTACCTCTCATTGTATCCAGATCTGTAACTAGAGTGAAATCACTCGATGACTAAAGGAAGTGACAAAATTTTACTTGGAAGAGATAGGATAGCTATTAATGGAACTGCAAGATTTTTTACTATTTATGTTGGAAGAAACCAAGCAATATTTGTAGGAACAAATTCTAAGGTGTTATGTCACCGAGGAAGGTACTTAATATTGGACAAAGCTGGACCTACCAGAGTATTTAGATCTATTGACTTAGTTCCTGACATAGAAGTAGCACTAATTGTAAACTTGATTGGGTAACAGAAATCTAGATTCAACAGTAGCCTATAATAAAAGTAGCTGCAGAGTTTATTTTCTACAGGATAAAAATATCAAGACTTAGAAAGACAGAAATGTTATAACGAGTGGGGAGGCAGAGCAAAACGGCTAAATAGAAGCCCTGAGCAATTGTCCCCCCACCACTGGGACACCAAATTGAACAACTATCCACACAAAAAAAGCACCTTCATAAGAACCAAAAATTGGCCTGGCGCAGTGGCTGATGCCTGTAATGCCAGCACTTTGGGAGGCAGAGGCGGGCAGATCACGAGGTCAAGAGATCGAGACCATTCTGGCCAACATGGTGAAAACCGTCTCTACTAAAAGTACAAAAATTAGCTGAGCGTGGTGGTGGGCGCCTATAGTCCCAGCTACTCGGGAGGCTGAGGCAGGAGAATTGCTTGAACCCGGGAGGTGGAGGTTGCAGTGAGCTGAGATCCTGCCACTGCACTCCAGCCTGGCGACAGAGTGAGACTCTGTCTAAAAAAAAAAAAATGGACCAGTCTATCATTGCTGGACATTTGGGTTGGTTTCAAGTCTTTGCTATTGTGAATAGTGCTGCAATAAACATGTGTGTGCATGTGTCTTTATAGCAGCATGATTTATACCCCTAAAACTTAAAGTATTAAAAAAAAAAGAACCAAAAATCAAGTGAGCAATCACAGTACCTTCTTCTTCTTCTTTTTTTTTTATATCACTTTTAGAAAAGTAGCACTGAAGAGAGTATAGAAAAGACAGTCTTGAATTGCCTATACTGTTCCTCCCCAATCCCTAGCAATGGCTGCATGGCATGGAGAGAAAATCTGTGCACTTGTGGGAGGGAGAGTGGGGTGATTGTGGGTCTTCACATTGGAACTGAGTGCTGCCCTGTCACAGCAGAAACACTAGACAGACCTCAGATGGTACCCACAGAGGGAGCATTTAGACCAGTCCTAGCCAAAAGTGAATCATGTATCCTAGCAGTTGGAACCTGAGTTCCAACAATCCTCTTCCCCATGGGCTAAAGTGCTCTGGAGTGCTAAATTATTTTAAAAGTCAATCTAAGCCACAATAACTAAAATTTCTGGGCAAGTCCTTATGCTGTGCTGAGCTTAGAGCCAGTGGATTTGGGGGTACACATGAACTAGTGAGATCTCACCTGAGGTGGCCAAAGGAAATGTTTGCATCACCTGCTCCCCAAACCCAGGTAGCACACCTCAAAGCTATGGGACAGACTCCTTCCCTCTGCTTAAGGAGAGGAGAGGGGAGACTAAAGAGAACTTTGTCTTGCAACTTGGATATCTGCTCAGCCACAATAGAATATGGTACCAGGCAGAATCTTGAGGTCCCCATTCCAGGCCCTAGCTTTCAGATGACATTTCTAAACACAACCTGGGCCAGAAGGAAACTTGCTGCTTAAAGAGAAAGACCAAGTCCTGGTGAGATTCATCATTTGCTGATTAAAGAGCCCCTGAGCCCTGAATAGTCAACAGTGGTAGCCAGGCAGTTTTTGTTGCAGACCTCAGAGTCTTGCTGGTTTCAGGTGTGAACCAGCACATTCCCAACTGTGGTTCCTATGGGGAGAGATTCCTGTTACTTGAGAAAGAAGGAAGAGTAAAAGAGGGCTTTGTCTTGAAGCTCAGACACAGTGCGGTAGAGCACCAGCAGAGTCCTGGGGTCCCCGATTTCAGGCCTTGGCTCCCGGATGGCATTTATATGGATCTGCCCTGGGCCAGCGGGACGCTCACTGCCCTGAAGCAAGAGACCCAGGCCTGGCAGCATTCAACTCAAGCTGACTGAAGAGCCCTTGGGCCTTGAGTGAACATCAGTGTGGCCAGGTAGTATTTACTGCAGACATGGGGTGGTGGTAGCCATGGGGAGAAAATCCTCTGCTTGAAGAAAGGAGAGAGAAGAGGGAGAACTTTGTCCAGCAGCTTGGCTACAAGCTCAGCTTTAGAATACGGTACCAGGTAGATTCCTAAGATTCCCAACTCTAAACCGTGACTCCCAGATGGTGTCTTTGGACCCAATCAGGGTAGGGGAAAACTTGCTGCCCTGAAGGGTAGGACACAGGCCTGGCTTGCTTTACCACCTGCTGATTGTAGAGGCCAAGGGCCTTGAGTGAACATACGCAGTAGCCAGGCAGTGGGAAAGACCCAGAATTTTGTTGGCTTTAAGTCTGACCAAGCACAATCCTAGTGGTGGTGGCAACAAGGGTGCTTGTGTCACCCCTCCCCCAGGCAGCTCCAGGCAGCTCAGCAGAGTGAATGAGAGGGAGAGAGAGAGACAAAGAGACTCTATTTGCTTGGCAGAAAGTAAGAGAAGGAGGCAAGGGTCTCTAATTGGTAATTCAGGAAATTTTCCAAGATCTTACCAAAGACCACCAAGGCAGTACCTCTATGAGTTTGCAAGAGACACAGCAGTACTGTGTTTGGGGTGCCCCCATGCAGATAAAACTACAGTGAACAAAGACTTACATCACAACACCAGAGTATTGGATTGAAGTCCCTTCAAATACTTGGAAAGCCTTCCCAAGAACAATGAGTACAAACAAGCCCAGAATACAAGGGCTACATTAAACACCTAACCCTTCAATGCCCAGATACTGATGAACATCCACAGACATCAAGACCATGGAAGAAAATATGACCTCACCAAAAAGGCACCAGTGACCAATCCTGGGCAGACAGAGATTTTTTACCTTTTGGACAGAGATTGAAAATTGCTGTACTAAGGAAGCTCAATGCAATTCAAGATAACACAGAGAAGAGTTCAGAATCCTATCAGATGAATTTTACAAAGAAATTGAAATATTAAAAGAAGCAGAAATTCTGGAGCTGAAAAATGATATTGGCATACTAAAGAATGCAACGGTCTCTCAACAGCAGAACTGATCAAACAGAAGAAAGAATTCATGAGCTTGAATATAGGATATTTGAAAGGACACAGGAAGATGAGACAAAAGAAAAAGAACAAATCATGCCTACAAGATCTAAAAAAGAGCCCCAAAAGGGCAAATCTAAGAGTTATTGGTCTGAGAGAGAGAGAGAGAGCAGAGTAAAAAGTTTATTCAAAAAGATAATAACAGAGAACTTCTGAAACCTAGAAAAGTATATAAATATTCAAATACAAGAAGGTTACAGAACAACAATCAGATTTAACCCAAATAAGACTATCACGAGACATCTAAGACCAAAGGTCAGGAATAAAGGATCTTAAAAGCAGAAGGAGAAAAGAATCAAATAACATACAAGGAGATCCAGTATGTCTATGATATAGTTTAGATATGTGTCCCCTCTAAATCTAATGTTGAATTGTAATCCCCAAAGTTGGATGTGGCGCCTGGTGAAAGATGATTGGATCATGGGAGCAAATTTCTCATCATCCCCTTGGTGCTGTCCTCACAATAGTGAATCAGTTCTTGTGACATCTGGTTGTTTAAATGTGTGTGGCACTTTCTCCCACATTTGCTCTCTCTCTTGTTTCTGCTTTCCCCATGTTACGTGCCCATTCTCCTTTTGCCTTCCAACATGATTGGAAACTTGCTGAGGTTTCCTCAGAAGCAGATACTGCTATACTTCCTGTACACCCGGCAGGACTGTGAGCAATTTAAACCTCTTTTTTTGAAATAAATTACCCAGTATAAAGTATTTCTTTATAGCAGAGCAAGAACGGCCTTACACATTCTGGCAGCAAACTTCTCGGTGGAAACCTGACAGTTAAGGCATGACATATTTAAAGCGCTGAAATAAGAAAAAAAAATTATCCTTAAATAGTGCATCTACTGGAAATATCCTTCAAGGATGAAGAAGAAATAAAGACTTTTCCAGACACACAAAAGCAGAAAGAATTTATTAGCACCAGAACTGCCCTACAAGAAATGGAAAAAAAGAGTTTTTTCAATATGAAAAAAAGAATGCAAATAAATAATAAGAAATTCTTTGAAGGTACAAAATGCACTGGTAATAACAAGCACACAGAAAGCCACAGAATATAATAACACTGCAAATGTGATGTGTAAAATACTCATATATTGGGTAGGGAGACAAAATAAAAACCTATTAGAAATAACAACTACAATAACTTTTCAGACATAGGTAGTATAATCAGATATAAATAGAAAAATTAAAAAGCAGTGGGATGAAGTTAAGGTGCAGGGTTTTTATTAGTTTTATCTTTTCTTATTTGTTAGTTTCTTTGTTTATGTAATCTACGTTAAGTTGTCATTTGTTTAAAATAATTGGTTTTAAGATATTATTTTCAAGCTTCATGGTAACCTCGAATCAAAACACACACAACGGATACACAAAAATATAAAACAATAAATTAAATTACAACACCAGAGAAAAGTATCCTTTCTAAATGGAATACAAGAAGGAAAGAAAGAAGGAAGAGAAGATTGCAAAAAAACCCCAGAAAACAAATAACAAAATGGCAGTCAAAAATCGTTACCTCACAATAATGACATTGAATGTAAATGTCCTAAGCTCTCCAATCAAAAGACATAGAGTGGTTGTGTAGATAGAAAGCAAGAGCCAACCATCTATTGTCTACAGGAAACATACTTCATTATAAAGACACATAGAGACCAAAAACAAAGGGATGGAAAAAGATATTTCATGCAAATAGGAACCAAAAAAAGGGCAGAAGTAGCTATACTTACATCATAGAAAATAGATTTCAAGACAAAAACTATAAAAGGAGATAAAGAAGGTCATTATATAATAATAAAAGTGTCAATTCAGCAAAATAATATTACAATTGTACATATATACTCACCCAAGACTGGAGTACCCAGATATATAATAAAGCAAATTTTATTAAAACCGAAGAGAGAGACAGAAACAATATAATGATAGCTGGAGACTTAAACACACCCACTTTCAGCATTAGACAGATCACTCAGACAGAAAATCATCAAAGAAACGTCAGACATAATCTGCAGTATAGACCAAATGTACCTAATAAATATTTACAGAGCTTTCCATCCAACAGCTGCAGAATACACAATCTTCTCCTCAGCACATAGATTATCCTCAAGGATAGACCACATACTAGGCCACAAAGTAAGTATTAAAACATTCAAAAAAATTGAAATTGTATCAAGTATCTTCTTAGACTACAATGTAATAAAACTCAAGATCAATTAAAAAAGAAATTTTGGAAACTATATAAACACATGGAAATTAATATGCTCTGGAATGACCAGTGGGTAAATAAAAAAAATTAAAAAGAAAATGGAAAAAAAAATTCCTGAAACTGCTGGGCACGGTGGCTCACTTCTGTAATCCCAGCACTTTGGGAGGTTGAGGTGGGCAGATCACGAGGTCAGGAGATCGAGACCATCCTGGCTAACATGGTGAAACCCTGTCTCTACTAAAAATACAAAAAAATTAGCCAGGCGTGGTGGTGGGCGCCTGTAGTCCCAGCTACTTGGGAGGCTGAGGCGGGAGAATGGCATGAACCCGGGAAGTGGAGCTTGCAGTGAGCCGAGATCTCGCCACTGCACTCCAGCCTGGGCGACAGAGCAAGATTCCGTCAAAAAAAAAAAAAAAATTCCTGAAACAGATGGTAATGGAAACACAATGTACTAAAACCATTGGGATACAGCAAAAGCAATAATAAGAAGAAAGTTTACAACAATAAGTGCCTACATCAAAAAAGTAGAAAAACTTCAAATAAACAACCTAATGATGCATCTTAAGTAACAAAGCAAGAGCAAATCAAACGCAAAATTATTAGAAGAAAATATATACTAAAGATCACAAATGACATACATGAAATCAAAATGAAAAATATACAAAAGATAAAAAAGTCAGTTTTTGAAAATATAATTAAATCAACATTTATTCAGATTAAGAAAAAAAGAGTAGATCCAAATAAAGTCAAAGATGGAAAAGGAGATATTACAACCAATACCACAGAAATTCAAAGGATTACCAAGACTACTGTGATCAACTATATGCCAATAAATAGGAAAATCTGAAAGAAATGGATAAATTCTAAGACACATACAACTTACCAAGATTGAACCATGAAGAAATCCAAAACCTGAACAGACTAATAACAAGTAACTAGATCAAAGCTGTACTAAAAACTCTTCCTGGAAAGGAAAGCCCCAGACCTGATGGCTTCACTCCTTAATTATGCCCAATATTTAAAGAACTAACACCAGTTCTGCTCTAATTATTCTGAAAAATAGAGGAAGAAATATATCCAAACTCATTCTATGAGGCCAATATTACTCCAATGTCAAAACAAAAAAAGGACACATCAAAAAAGAAAACTACAGGCCAATATCCCCAATGAGCATTGATGCAAAAATTCTTGATGAAATATTAGCAGATATAATTCAATAACACATTAAAAAGATTATTCATCATGACCAAGTGGAATTATTTCAGGGATCCCAGGATGGTTCATAATACATCAATCAATGTGATACATAGTATCAACAGAATGAAGGGCAAAAACTGCATGATAATTTCAGTTAATGCTGAAAAACATTTGATAAAATTCAACATTCCTTCATGATTAAAAGCTCTCTCAAAAAACTGGGAATAGAAGAAATATACCTCAACATAATAAAAGCCATATATACAGAACCACATATAGAGCCAAATACAGAAACACAGCTAGAATCAAGCTAAATGCAGAAAAACTGAAAACTTTTCCTCAAATAACTGGTAAAAGACAAGGATGCCCACTTTTACCACTGTTGATCAACATAGTACTGGAAGTCCTTTCCTAGCTAGAGTACTTAGACAAGAGAAAGACATAAGGGAATCCAAATTGGAAAGGAGGAAGTAAAATTATCCTTGTTGGCAGATAATACCATCTTATATTTGGAAAAACCTAAGGAATCCACCACCAACAACAAAAACTATTAGATCTGATAAACTCAGTAAAGTTACAGGATATAAAATCAATATATAAAAACCCATAGCCTTTCTATATACAAACAGCAAATAATCAGAAACAAAAATCTACAAAGTAATTTCACCTCCAATAGCTACAAATAAAATAAAATACCTAGTAGTAAATTTAATCAAGGAAGCAAAAGATCTCTGCAATGATAACTAAAATATTGATGCCAGTACCTGAATAGAACAAAAAAAATAGAAGGATACTCCATGTTCATGAGTGGGAAGAATCAATATTGTTAAGATGTCCATGCTACTCAAAGTGATCTACAGATTTGATGCAATTCTTATCAAAATACCAATGGTATTCTTCACAGAAATAGAAAAAAAATCCTAAAATTTGTATGGACCTGCAAAAGACTCAGCATGGTCAATACTATCCTAAGAAAAAAGAAAAATAACTGGGGGAATCACAATAGGTGACTCCAAATTATACTACAAAACTGTAGTAAACAAAACAGTATGATACTAGCACAAAAATGGACACATAGACCAATGAAGAAGAACAGAGAACTCAGAAATAAATCCATACCTCTACAGTAAACTCATTTTCAATTAAGTTTCCAAGAACATAACACTGAGGAAAGAACAGTCTTTTCATTAAATGTTGCTAGGAAAACTGGATATCCATATGCAGAAGAATGAAACTAGTCCTCTACCTCTCTCCATATACAAAAGTCAAATCAAAGTGAATTACAGACTTAAGTCTAAGACCTCAAGCTATAAAGCTACTAAAAGAAAACACTGAGGAAACTCTTCACGTCATAGGACTGGGAAAAGATTTCTTGAGCAATACCTCACAAGCACGGGCAACCAAAGCAAAAATGAACAAAGGGGCTCACATCATGTTAAAAACCTTCTGTACAGCAAAGGAAACAACAAAGTGAAGAGACAATCCAGAGAATGGGATAAAATATTTTCAAAAATTTGACAGAAGATTAATAACCAGAATATATAAGGAAGTCAAATAACTCAATAGGAAAATATCTAATGATCTAAGTAAAAAATGAGCAAAAGATTGGAATAGACATTTTTCAAAAGGTTTTAAAAGAGGTGCTCAACATAATTGATCATCAGGGAAATGCAAATCAAAACTACAAATAAATATCAACTCATCCCAGTTAAAATGGTTTTTATCAAAAAGACAGGCAAAAAAAAAAAACAAAATGCTGGCAAGGATGTGGAGGAAAGGTAACACCCCTACGCTACTGGTAGGGATGCAAGTTAGCAAAGCTACTATGGAGAACAGTTTGGAGGTTTCTTGAAAAACTAAAAATAGATCTGCCATATGATCCACCAATCCCACTGCTTGGTATATATCTCAAAGAAAGGAAATAAGTATATCAGAGATATCTGCACTCTCTTGTTTTATTGCAGCAGTATTCATGATAGCCAAAATTTGGAAGCAATCTGTGTGCCTCAACAGATGAATGAATAAAGACAATGTGGTACATATACACACTAGAGTACTATAAGCAATAAAGATAATGAAACACTGCCATTTGCAAAAACATGAATGGAACTGGAGGTCATTATGCTAAGCGCAATAAGTAGGGCAGAGAAAGACAAATTTTGCATGTTCTCACTTCTTTGTGGGAGATAAAATTTAAAGCAATCGAAATTGTGGAGACAGTAGAATGATGGTTACCAGAAGCTGGAAAGGGTAATTGGGGAGGAGGGCATGTGAGGATGGCTAATAGGTACAAAAGTGTATTTACATGGAATAAATAAGATCTAGAATTTGATAGCATGGCAGGGTGACTACAGATTTATTGTGCATTTTAAAAATAACTAAAAGAAGAATTGAATTGTTGGTAACATAAAGAAAGGAAAAATGCTTGAGGTGACGGAGACATTTACCCTGATGTGATTATTATGCCTTGTATGTCAGTATCAAAATTCCCTTGTACCCCATAAATATACATGCCCACCTACTACATACCCAGAAAAACTTTTAAAAGTGAAATAACAAAAAAGTGAGAATAAATTTATAATAGTCAAATGTTCTGAAGAATTTCTTCCACCTGCAATATCCCTCCAGTGCCCTTTTCTGAGAAAACCTAACCTGTGCTCCCTGTAAAGGAGAGGTGCTTAAAGAAATTCATTGATTATTGCAGAGCAGATATTGATGGTTGAATGTGCAGCTGAGAAGAAACATATTCATATATAGAGCAGGTGATAAAATTACAAATGAAGAGGTTTGCCTGAATCTGTCTTAGTGTGTCCACAGATACATATTGCACTATTTCTTCTGTTCCTGAATACACAGTTGAGAAAAGGCTGGCAGATTTTTTACATCAGCTCCCTGAACCGCAGATAGGGATTTATTAAAGTAAAAAGGAGAAAGTAGAAGCCCCTGGAACTTTTATTTCCTAACAAAATAATAAACCAAAAGTAATATACTGTAGCTGACAGATTTCAGATACTATTGCCACACTCAAAGACCTAAAAAATGTGGAGATGTCTTTTCCATCACTTCCTCTTTGAATTTCCCTATTTGACCTCTGTGAAAAAACAGATAATGATGAATAAATGTATATTATGGTTATTTTTTATCATGTGTTGACTTCAATTACACCTGCTTTTCTAGTTGTTTTATCTTTACAGAAGCTAACTAACCAAGCCTTTGGATCCTGTTGTACAAATGCTTTGATTTCTCTTTTATCAAATAGGAAATGTCATCACAATCTATGTGCTCTTATATTGAAAGGATGACCATACTGCTGTATTACCTAAGCTCAGGGTTAACACAGTTCTACAGATCCCTGTCTTAATAAGGCACTCTATTATCTTGATATATCTTGCTGCAGAATTGAGTTAGTGATATGACGATTGGAGCTTATAAGCAGGAAGCAGCAAATGCTCTTATAACTTATTAAGACAATATATTGGCCAAAAGGTGGAATAAAATCCCAGAGAAAATTAAGGGACCTGATGCCTCAGAAGGAAGCTCAATAATTGCTGAGCTGTTTAGATTTATGGAGGTAACATTTACCATATATGTGTGTGTTACTCTGAACTACTTACTGAGAAAGCCCACGAGGCTACCAGTGGTGAGTGGGAATCACAGCCTCAAGTATTTGCTGAAAAGCCTACAGTGTGAGTCACACCACCAATTGTGCCTCCTAACTTCTCAGAAACAATTGCACTTCAACAGTTTCTGGCAGCTCCAAATGTAGTATGGGAGCTCTGGTAAACCCAACAGAAAAATTGTAATCCAGTCTCTTAGAAATGAAAAAAAAAGTGCATAACTTGACGTTGCATCCTGGTTGGGCCTGAACACCTAATAATTTTGGAACCAAGGGAACAGGTGTACCTCAACAGTCCTTGATGAACTAGGTATCTGATCCACTGAGTCATAACATTGGGTAGTGACACTAAAATCCATAGTAAGTTGGAAATGGTGTATATGAAGTTGCGTTCTAGCAGATTCTATCTAGGGCTCAGTCAAGTGGCTTAAATGGCCATGGCCCTCACTTGTTCTTCATTGCTACCTATTCCTCACCCCACACTTACAGCCTCATGGGGAGTTCTCTCTGCATGACCATTGTACCTAAAACAAAACAAAACAAAACAAAACAAAATGTGAGCTAGTTTTATGAATCGTTAAATATAGGATACAAATACTGAACGTAGACTGAAGCATTACAGCTCTACTAAGGGTGTCCCTAATTGGAAAATGTAGACTTTGGTTCCTGGACTTCCCCATATTTAAGCATCCCATTACCTGCATCATATGCTTTTCTATTTCCAGTATACAGATGGCTTATGTTTTCCTAACGAAATCCTGAGTGATTCACTTCCCATCTTATCCAGAGTAACAGCCAAAGTTCTCATGGTGGCCTATGTGTCACCCTATAAGTTCTGGCCTCCATTTACTTCCTGGTTATTCTCTTATTTTTTATTTTTATTTTTTTTCATTTTTAGTACTGCACCCCAGTCACACTGGTTTTGTATATCTCAGGCATGACACTGTCTTAAGACGACTGCACAGAATGCTATGACTTTTGGAAATGTCCTTTTCCTATATGTACTTACATATTCCTCTCTACCTTCTTTCTCTATAGGAAAAATTGCTCAGGTATCACCCTTTCAACGGAGAACATCTTGCTACCATAATTGCAATGCCCAATCCCCACTTCTTTGAGCACTACTGATCTTCTCATCCAATTTTTGTTCTGTTTAATGGTATTTATCATCTTATAACTTTCTGTATATTTGACTATTATACTTACTCTTCAATGTCTGTCTACCTAAATCATATTGCAAGGTCCTGGAGCACAAGATTTTTGTTTTCTTTGTTCAGTCAGGCATTCAAATTGCCTAGAACTAAAAACATAAAAAGAACCTGGGGCCGGGCACAGTGGCTCATGCCTGTAATCCCAGCACTTTGGGAGATCGAGGCGGGTGGATCACGAGGTCAGGAATTCGAGACCAGCCTGGCCAGCATGGTGAAACCCCGTCTCTACTAAAAATACAGAAATTAGCCTGGCGCGATGGCGGGCGCCTGTAATCCCAGCTACTCGGGAGGAGAATCATGTGAACCCTGGAGGCGGAGTTTGCAGTGAGCCGAGATCACGCCACTGCACAGTACAGGCTGGTCGTAGTGGCTCATGCCTGTAATCCCAGCACAAGGCAGGTGGATCACCTGAGGTCAGGAGTTGGAGACCAGCCTGAGCAACCCCGTCTCTACTAAAATATACAAAAGTTAGCCGGACATGGTGAGGGGTGCCTGTAATCCCAGCTACTCAGGAGGCTGAGAGGCAGGAGAATCTCTTGAACCCAGAAGGCAGAGGATGCAGTGAGCCGAGATCATGCCATTGCACTCCAGCCTGGGAGACGGAGCAAGACTCCATCTCAAAAAAAAAAAAAAAAAAAAAAAAAAAAAGTACTCAGTGCATAGCTGAGTACATAGCTGAGTAAGCACTCATGAGATAGACCAATATAGAGGCATGCAGACAGATACACATATATAGGACAAGTGCATGTGTTTATGTCTGTGTTTGATGAAAAGGGTAGAAAGGTGACTGACTAGGGACACGTCAATGGATTAATTAAGGTGTTGAATATCAAACTGAATTTAGAAGATTTAAATATGCAGTTTCATGGTATCATGCAAATATTGAATCAAGGAATTGGGTGACTTAAACACGCATTTAGAATGCAAGACATGAGATATCTGAGACTGTAGACTAACATACACAGAGAAGAGAAACTAAGGAAAAAGCTAAAATTTAGGGGAAAAAGAGGGCCAGAAATTTCTATTTGAATGAAGATCAAATTTAATGACACCAAGTATGGAAAAATAATAACCAGTATAACTATATTTGAAAGAAGTGATTTGGAGTGTGTACTCCAGAATTGACCAGTTTCAGTCTATGACACACCCCAGAACCTACATGTAGAAAACTGAATTTAAGGGAAATGACTTAAGATTAATGTGGAAGCAACATGTGTGGAATAAGAGGTAAGGGAATTTTGTTGGGAATATTATTAGAAAAAATTGGACTATTGTCCCTAAAATGTTAATGGGGCACACAGCGAAGTGGGGGAGAATATGGTCTTTCAAAGTGAACAAAGACTTAACTAATCATGAAATGGTAAATATATTTGAAAACCACCTATTAGGAATATAGGATGCAGGTGGTATGGATAATGAAAGATGACATTTTTTTGCGTGACTGATGACAAAATTGGGAGTAAGTGTCATTAACACATGAGATCTTATAACTTCTCAGGGATCTGACTAAACAGGATATGAGAGAATACAAGCAAACTGAAAGCAGAGTTCACTTTCATTTAAGAGAACTAAAGAAGAGTTCATCTATTTTCCATGTAAACATCTGTGGTAAAAATAGGATTCTAGAAGGTAGGTTTGAATTAAGTAAAAGAAGAAAACACTAATAGCATATAGAGACAAATGACTTAATAATTATGTCCCCAAATCCTCATTCATTTAATCTGTTCATTCGTTATCAGTATTTACATCCCTTTTCAGTATGCTGCTTTTTTTGCTATTATATTGTCAACCTTTTCATGAAATTTATTTTATAGTTTAATTTGTTGAATCTTGATATTTTATGATTTATGACTTATGATTTATAGTTTAGAAACTCTTTGTTAATGTTACCCATTTTTTAATACTCTATTAAACAAGTTTGTGCCAGTCAGGAATATACACTCATTCCTTTTATAATTTTTTTGATATTGGGTTTTATCAGTCCCCTTTGTTATATCATATACTAGAAGCCAAGATAATTTGCTTAGGTTTAATTTGTTAGATATGGTTTGAAATTTGTTCTAGACCAAGAAATAGATAATCTATTTTGAAAACTGTTTCATCATATTATCATTATTTTTGTTTTTGATAACAATTGTTTTGAAATATAACTATGAATAAAACTATAAAATAGTTTATCATTAAAATAATGTACGCTATATCAAATGCCCAATGTATACATTACTCCCGCATTTTGGAATTGTAAGTATTTTATGAAAAGTCTTAACTTCAATGAAAATAATAACAGAAAAGTAAGAATTCTATGATTTAGGGAATAACTTCTGAGTTAACAGTTAACAAACAGTAAACACTATCTTATCATCCTGTTAGTAAACAAATGTTACCAGTGTGGCCATATAGCAGAAATAATACATAGAAATATCTTTCTGCTATCAGAAAAAAATTTTTATGTATATTTTTATAACTTCAGGTAAAATACTGTTTGGGATTGTTTGTGTGAAATCGTATTATTATTTTGGCTCACAAATACATTGGCTTATAACTTATTTTCCAAATTATGGGCTAATAATGGTGTCCCAAGTTACAATAATTGATGATGTTTTCAGGATTCTATTGCCCAATATGGTGAATATAACTAATAGTCAAATATTGTACATTTCAGCATCACTAAGAGAGTAAATCTCAGATGTTTTTATCACCAAAAATGCCAAATATCTGAGGTAACTAATAGGTGAACTGGCTTGATCATTCTACATTGTATTAAAAATCATAATATCACTGTGTACCCCCATATATATGAGTATAATTTGTCAACATATAACAAAAAATAAAATAAAGTGACTATAGAAACAATGAAATAGCACATGTATATGTCATATATATCCCACTTTGGATTTTAAAAATATATTAATTTCTAGTAGCAAAATATTCTGAGGTATTGTGCTTTGTTGTTCATCAAGTAAAATTCTAAGATTATCAGACATGTCTCATTGTAGTATGTAAGCCTAGTCATTTGAAAATAATAAACATATAACATTTTGCCTTTTCCCATATACACAATGTCTAAAATCTACACATTCAATCACATTTGCTGACTGTAAAAGCAAAACAAAAGAAGGTAATCTAGAGATATACAGCCCTGAAGGCTGTTTCTTCAGAGATCACAATGGCACTGATGTTAAAATGTTACTACAAAATAAAACAGGGGAAGCAATTGGCAGGAAGTACATGAAGGTGAAATAAAAGCTTAGTATTTTTATGAAATATGAAAAATTCTGTACTAATATAAATTAATCCAAGTACCAGAGGGAGACAGACATATACTCCTCCTCCTGACAAATAGTGTGGCTGAAGTGCACAGAAGAGTAAATGACTTTTCCATGTCTTATAGGAAATCAGAAATACAACCTGGGGAGAATTCTTAGATTTAAGAGCTCAATAAATTAAGAACAATGAAATGCTGTTATATTTTTTGAGCAAAATATAGGGATATAGTTTGGAGAGTAAGGCTCTGGTTTTGATTTAATAGGAGTTCCAAGATAAGCAATCTTAGGAGGGCCTAGTACTGTCCCCAAACTTTTCTAGCAAGACAGAGAAGTTGCTATTTTCTATTCTTGATGGGCAGGAGTCAGTCAGTGAAAGAATACAGCTATGGCAGATTCCACATAGTCATTCTTTCCCAGTAGAAAATTCCAGTGAGTTTTTCAGTTATGTTTACCCTGTTCATTTCTTATGTCTGTTCATTGTCTATGCACTTATAATAAGCTTCAGAATAAAAAGAATACATAAATTCCTCAATTACAGCTTATTCTTCTCCCTTAACCCTTCTACTTCATACTCCTCACTCAACACACACATACACACGCACACACACACAAACCCATGCATTTGCACACATTTTTCCTTATAGCGCTAGATATTTTTGACCTCTCAACCAAGATACATACATACATATATATATGTGTGTGTGTGTACATATATATGTGTATATGTACACACACACACACACACACACACACACACACACACACACACATATATATATCCCAAGTAGCTGGGTCCACAGATGTGCACCACCACTCCTGGCTAATTTTCTATTTTCAAAATTACAAATTTACACCATAAAGACGGTGTTTGGCCATGTTGCCCAGACTGTTCTCAAACTCCTGGACTCCAATGATCCACCCACTTCGGCCTCCCAAAGTGCTGAGATTGCAGGCATGAGACACTGCATCTAGCTTGAAGAAGTCCTTTTTTAAGGACAAGAGTTAACATTAGGACTATGGTTAATACTAGGCTGCTAGATTTGCTATCAACTACTGTTTATCTATGAAGTTCTCTTAAAAACTGTCACAAATGTTTATATAGCAAATTTAATAATATGGAATATGTCCCATTCTATGACTACTAGTAGAGATCTGTACCATGCATATACAAAATATTTCAAAAGAAATAGATAAAATTAATTCAGCAGATTATATTTTGTGTAAATTTATTTTTATATTGCCTAACTTGACAAATAAAAGATAATGTTCTTTAATTCTTAAATATCATAAGGTCATTACAAATTTATGTCAAATATTATCAGTGCATTCTTTTTTGTTGTTGTTGTTTTTTGTTTGTGAGATGGAGTCTCGCTCTGTCACCCAGGCTGGAGTGCAGTGGCGCAGTCTCCGCTCACTGCAAGCTCCACCTCCCAGGTTCACGCCATTCTCCTGCCTCAGCCTCCCAAGTAGCTGGGACTACAGGCGCCCACCACCACGCCCAGCTAATTTTTTGTATTTTTAGTAGAGACGGGGTTTCACCATATCAGGGCATTCTTAATTACACTATTTATACTTAAAATATTAAAAAATAAATTCATGTACAAGTAAATGATTTCATATTTCATTAACACTAATAAATAACTTGCCTTTTAATCAGATTTTCTTTTACCACATATTGAAATCAATACTTTACTATTTGTGACTTAAAAATGAACAAACTATAATCCTTTTTAAAAAGCTGTATTTTCTGCAACATGACATACAGTTTCCCATTAATTAGCATTTGATTTATTGTAATATGTCAAGCACACATTATCTAAAAGCATTACATCTTATGATTACAAAACCTACAGCTTTAAATTGCTATTGAATATGAGGTTATTAATTTTATTTTACTCATTTTTGTGGCGTATATAATTTTTTGTGCTCCTAATCATTATGCATGATCTTATTTCCTCCTGCCGTAGTTAATAATAAGCAGATTACCTTAAATAACATCTCTGAGGTTTGTAGAAGAAATGTCTTACTGAAAATAACAAAATCACTTCTTTTTTGGGTTAGAGATGGTAAAACTGTAGAAACATACAAAATAAAAATAACCTGCTAACCACCAAATTTAAAAATTAAAAATTAAGTCAGCAAATTAAAAAAACTCTTTGTAAATGTATCACATTGTAACTAAATAGTTTGTGCAATTGTTGAAGCCTGACGCCATCCTGTACCCAAAGCAGAGGGCTATGTTTTGAAAACTGTTTAATTACCAGCACATTAACCGTGTCCAGTACTAAGGAACCCCTCAATTTACTGACTGTACGTGTGAAATAAAGGTTGACTCATAGAAGACTAATACTACAAAACACATGTGTAACTCATAATTAGGTGAATATATGAATCATTTTGCCTAGGGCAGTCTCAATTCTTAACTGACGCAAGAGAGTTATGAATAGTGCTCCCCTTTCTCTCTCAAGATGTCTCAATTTGGACAACATATCAGTTCTATAATCCACCTATTCTATTCATATGTCAACTTGTGTTCTAGATGTTTTTATTTTATTTTATTTTTGATATTTTTAACTTTTAAGTTCAAGGGTACATGTGCAGGTTTGTTTCATAGGTAAACTTGTGTCATGGGGGTTCGTTGTACAGATTATTTCATCATGCAGATATTAAGTCTAGTACCCATTTATTATTTTTCCTGCTCCTCTCCCTCCTCCTGCCTTCCACTCTCCAATAGGCCCTGGTGTGTGTTGCTCCCCTCTATGTATCTATGTGTTCTCATCCTGTAGCTCCCACTTCTATATGAGAACATGTAGTATTTGGTTTTCTGTTCTTATGTTAGTTTGCTAAGTATAATGGCCTCCAGCTCCATTCATCTCCTTGCAAAGAGCATGATCTTATTCTTTTTATGACTGCATAGTATTTCATGGTGAATATGTACAACATTTTATCATATTCATGGTGAATATGTATCCATTTTATCATTGATGGGCATTTGGGTTGATTTTATGTCTTTTTTATTGTGAATAGTGTTGCTATGAACATACATGTGCATGTGTCTTTGTAATAGAATGATTTATATTTTATATTTATCAACTTTAATTTTTAACAAATCCCTAGGCAGGAGGGAATACTGATATTCCTCAATGGAGAGATGAGGAAGTTAAGTTAGAGAAGTTTGTTCAATCTTGGTCATACTTTTTGAACATGGAAAACATAAGAATCATACCCAGGTTATGTGGTACCAGAGCCGTTGTCCTTAAATCACTATGTAATGATGATCAAAGTGTTTTTATGGACATTATCCAGGGTCCTGATATGTATTGCCAATGAGATCGAATTAAAATTTTGAATTTTTCTACAACAGGAGTGGAGTGAACACATGGAGGTGGCAGAGGGGCCCTCAATTACAGAAACTGCACTAAATTTTCTGTAGTATTCAGTCTGGGGCTGAGCCCTTGTCATCTGGTGAAATCTACTTGTGTGTTTTATGTTCTTGGGTTGTCCAGACATAGGTGATACATCTTTAGTTGTTGACCCTATACTAGCTTTTAAAAAACCTTCATATTCTCCTTGAAGTCAGCCTGTTTTTTTTGTTTGTTTGTTTTTGTTTTTGTTTTTCCACATGACCAGGATAATCATCCAGAATTATATGAGGGTCACAGTTTCCTTTCTTCTCCATTGTTTTGCTTTCTATGCAGCATAACAAATTACCACAGGCTTAGACTAGTGGCTTAGAACAACATAGATTTGCTGTCTTATAGTTTCTGTGGGTTGGCCATCTGGGCACAGCTTAATTGGTTCTTCTCTCAGGGTCTCAAAAGTCTGCAGTCAAGGTTTCACCTGAGTTTCATTCTCATGTTAAGGATGGACTGAGGAAGAATCCCCTTGAACTCTTTCAAATAGCTGACAGGATTAATTTCTTTGTGCGATGATGACTGAGAGTCTCAGCTTCTTACCGGCTTTTGGCTGCAGACCACCCTCAGATGCTAGCGGTAACATTCCTAGTGGCTGCTTGCGGTTCCTTGTTACATGAACTTCACCAACAGGGCTACTGACTTAAGTAAGTCTGCAAGGAGAGTCTGCAAAATGTGTCGGTGTGTTACATGAAGTCCAATGTATGGTAACATAATCACAGGAGTGACATCTTACTATGTTTACAATATTCTATTGATTAAAATAAAATTACAAATCCTTCCCACATTCAACAAGTAGTTGATGTACAAGTTTGTGATTATTAAGAGATAGGAATCACAGGGGTTACTTCAAGGACTGTAAGTCACATCTTCATATGCCTTTCTAAACTCACCAGATAAAAAACAGAATGAATTCTCCATCTTGTGTTTAAGGAAGAGTTTTTTTTTTAATGTTTCATACTAATCACTTCCTAACCATGTTTTTGCAAAAGCATCACACTAATCCAGTAAACCAGGACTAAGTATTGATTCGAAATTATTGAATTACATTTTCAGTCTTAATCTTGAATGTCAGAACTGTGATTTGCTTATATAGTCAAAAATTCGACTTCATCAAATCTACATATTGATTCTGTCATTCCTCTTTGTATCCCTGCAGTTAAAAACTAAATTTGCTGAATACTTATGGTTAACTAGGAGAAAGTTACATAAAATAAAATATATAAGTAAAAAGTATATTTACAGATTTCAAAAAACATTGATTATATCCATATTTCTATAATTAGCAACAATAATGACATAAAACTATAGTATGTGCTAATAATAATATATCATTGCCTCTGATGCCCTAACCATGGTGTGGGTAGTATTTCTGCATTTTATAGAGGAAAAAATTAGAACCCAAGGCTATATGATTAAAAGGACAAGGTCACATAGAGCTGGGGTTTAAAACCAGCTATTTCTGAATAAAGTGGTCATCGTCTCTGCATTGCAATATAAACAAAATATTGGGAATGATCACTAATGAAAGTGATCAATATTGGATATATCCTGAAATATGTAAGATAATATTACGTATATCAACTAATTTCCTGTATTAGTCAGGGTTCGCTAAGGGGACAGAATGAATAGGATAGATGACTATATAAAGGGGAGTTTATTAGGAGGATTGACTCACACAATTATAAGGTGAAGTCCCACAAAAGGCCGTCTGCAGGCTGAGGAGCCAGGAAGCCAGTCTGAGTTCCAAAACCTCAAGAGTAGGGAAACTGATAGTGTAGCTTTCATTCTGTGGCTGAAGGCCCAAAAGCCCCTGACAAATCACTGATGTAAGTTCAAGATTCCAAAAGATGAAGAACTTGGAGTTTGATGTTTGAGGACAGGAAGCATTCAGGATGGGAGAAAGATGGAGGCCAGAAGACTTAGCCAGTTTAGCCCTTCTGAGAGACAGGACATACTGAATTTCCTAGGCTGACTAAGAATTCCTAACCCTAGCTGAGAAGGTGACTGCACCCACCTTCAAACATGGGGCTTGTAACTCAGCTCACACCCAACCAATCAGGTAGTAAAGAGGGCTCACTAAAATACAAATTAGGCTAAAAGCAGGAGGTAAAGAAATAGTCAAGTCATCTATCATCTGAGAGCACAGGGGGAGGGACAATGATTGGGATATAAACCCCAGGCATTGGAGCTGGGAGTGGGAAACCCTTCTGTGAGGCAACCCCCTTTGGGTCCCCTCCCATTGTATGGGAGCTCTGTTTTCACTCTATTAAATCTTGCAACTTCATACTCTTCTGGTCCATGTTTGTTACGGCTCAAGCTGAGCTTTCACTCGCCGTCCACCACTGCTGTTTGCCACCATCACAGACCTGCCACTGACTTCCACCCCTCTGGATCTGGCAGTGTGTCCACTGTGTTTCCGATCCAGGAAGGCACCCATTGCTGCTTCTGTTCAGACTAGAGGCTCACCATTGTTCCTGCACTGCTAAGTGCTCGGGTTCGTCCTAAGCTAAACACTAGTCGTTGGGTTCCATGGTTCTCTTCCGTGACCCACAGCTTCTAATAGAACTATAACACTCACCGCATGGCCTAAGGTTCCATTCCTTGGAATCTGTGAGACCAAGAACCCCAGGTCAGAGAACAAAAGGCTTGCCGCCATCTTGGGAGCAGCTTACCTCATCATGGGAGCAGCCCACAACCATCTTGGGAGTGGCCCGCCACCATCTTGGGAGCTCTAAGAATAAAGATCCGCCCATAACACCTCCATGTTCTTCTGCCTGCTTTCACCCTAGGCACACTGGCAGCTGATTGGATGGTACCCACCCAGATTGAGGGTTGGTCTGCCTCTCCCAGTCCACTGACTTAGATGTTAATCTCCTTTGGCAACAGACGCACCTAGGAACAATATTCTGCATCCTTCAATCCAATCAAGTTGACACTCAATATTAACTATCACACTTCCTATTTTGCATGTTAGTATTAGACCATTTTCAGCCCATACTATTTTTCTGTAGCTATTTTTTATTTTCATTTTGTGAGAATGTAAAAACCAAAACAATAAAACAATTAGTTGTCTGAGGGAATGTTTTTATGACACACCATGCTGAGAGTTTATGTGATTTCTATTTTTTTCTTTTGATTCTCATAAAATACAGTATTGTAAGCAATCTTTGTAGAAGCTCTTTTACAATGACTTGCTTTTGGTAAGTGTAATAATCCTATGTTAATAATTTTCTTTTTGTAGGTAACCTTCTTTTAGGGTACACCTGAAACATTAAAAACTAACACCTAAAATCTTACCATATATTCTATAAAATATCAAATATTTGTGGATATAAAATCTACATGCGGCCCGGCGCGGTGGCTCACACATGTAATCCTAGCACTTTGGGAGACCAAGGCAGGTGGATCGCCTGAGGTCAGGGGTTTGAGATTGGCCTGGTCAACATGGTGAAACCCTGTCTCTACTAAAAATGCGAAATTAGCCAGGCATGGTGGCAGGCGTCTATAATCCCACCTACTCAGGAGGCTGAGGCAGGAGAATCGCTTGAGCCTGAAGGGCAGAGTTTGCAGTGAGCCGAGATGGCACCATTTCACTTCAGCCCGGGCAAAAGAGCGAGACTCCATCTCAAAAAAAAAAAAAAAAAAAAAAACTACATATGGCTCATGCTGTGTATCTCATTAGCTGAGTGTTAGATGAATACTGAATTAAACACAAATGACTAATTTCCTGTGCAACTCAGGAAACAAGGTTATTTTATTATATTTAAACAGTGAAATCAACATTATTCAAGAAAAAAGAATGAACATATGTTAAAAATGTACTGATAATCTCAGGTGATTGATCTTTCTGTGTATCACTTCCAATTTAGTAAACTCTAATATATTAATAGGCCATAAATTATTTGTAAACACAATATTGTTCTGCTTTCTGAATCAAATTTGCTTACATTATGCAGAAATATTTGTTAATACAACAGCAGGATTATTTTTACTATCCATGTACAATCATTAGACATTCACTCATTGTAACAATAACACATATGCATGTATACAGAGAGAGACAGAGAAATTTAGACTTTGCCTTAATCTGAACTTAGTGCATCCCTTGTGCCTTTAGTTAACAAAACATCCATCCTGTGGGGCAGCAAGACTGCTAAATAGACATCTGCACAATGTTGGAATCCAGGCTTTACTCAGGATGGCTGCTCTGGGCACTACTTTCATCTAAGCAAATGCAATAACTTTAGGGAATAACAGTGAATTTTTTCCCTAAACAGTTATCACAATGCCACTGAACATATTTTACCACCAATAACTGATCTAGAAAACCCATGTGTTCAATCTTGTTTGTGTATTCTTCCCATTCTTCCATGAGCTTTTTCATATCTCTATGTTTGTTTTAAAAAAAAGAAAAAGGAAAAAAGAGCCAGTATGTCTCCAATGGCAGAACACAGCTGCCTCTTCCAAACAGAGAAAACAAATATCAGTGTATCTTTATTAGATTCACTAAGTTTGATTCCTTCATTTTACTGACGATTTTCATTCAGAGACTTTTATGTTCCACATTGGACTAATATGAGTATATCATTGTTGTTTCTAAAGTGTTCACTAGTTGACAAATACATTTCCTGAGGAAATAAAACTTAATCTGAGGTCAAGATAGACTTTTCTGGGCATGAATAGATTTTCTACAATTTTATTCAAGGTCTACAGAAAAGATGATATTTGAACGCTCTGAGACAGTAATAAATTTTGCCTGTTTGAGCAACCAAGTTAAGGCTATGAAGCTGGAGTAATGAACAAGGAGATGGAGGTCAGCAAGCAACTGCCTAAAGAGTCAGATGTTGACATTTTTTGTAAGGATTTTGAATTATATATTTTTTTCTTTTTTTAATTATACGTTAAGTTTTAGGGTACATGTGCACAACGTGCAGGTTTGTTACATATGTATACATGTGCCATGTTGGTGTGCTGCACCCATTAACTCGTCATTTAACATTAGGTATATCCCTGATGCTATCCCTCCCCTCTCCCCCCACCCCACAACAGGCCCCAGTGTGTGATGTTCCCCTTCCTGTGTCCATGTGTTCTCATTGTTCAATTCCCACCTATGAGAGAGAACATGCGGTGTTTGGTTTTTTGTCCTTGTGATAGTTTGCTGAAAATGATGGTTTCCAGCTTCATCCATGTCCCTACAAAGGACATGAACTCATCATTTTTGTGGCTGCATAGTATTCCATGGTGTTTATGTGCCACATTTTCTTAATCCAGTCTATCATTGTCGGACATTTGGGTTGGTTCCAAGTCTTCGCTATTGTGAATAGTGCCACAATAAACATGCGTGTGCATGTGTCTTTATAGCAGCATGATTTATAATCCTTTGGGTATATACCCAGTAATGGGATGGCTGGGTCAAACGGTATTTCTAGTTCTAGAGAATGCAAGGCCACTGAACAGTTCAAGTAGATTAGAGGCGAGACAAAATTTACATTGATAACCTTATCTACTACTGTGGGGAATCCTGACCATTTGGAGAAACTATTATCAGTAATTAGGATAAGGAACTGTGGATACTCAGGAACTGAAATACTAATGGCTAGAGAGAAATGAATCAATGTGACAATATCAAGACAGTAGAAGATGGGTGGTGATTTTTCCTCGGCTAAGGGAGGATGACCACAGAAGAGGAGTTGATAATTCCTAGATGTCTAGCACAAGTATATTCTTCAGTTTCTAAGCTATGGAATAATGCAGATAAAGATTGACTTCAGCTTTTAGTGAGTGGACTTTGATTCAATAAGCTTATGAAAAAAACTGATATCACAGAAACTCTATGAATTACAGCCTAAAACAATTGTAGGTACAGCAGGTGTTAATTACTTTATCATTTATAAACTTTCTGACATTTGTTTCTTTCCTATCTATTCTTACTCTAGCATTCCTGCAAGCTACTGTAAATACTCTCTAGTAGATTATACAGGGAAAAAATGTATATTTATGTGCTAACTCCAGGAAGGAAAGTACATTACAGTTCTTTGTATAGCCTTGAACCAACCCAGTTGCCCCCACCTTCCTTTCCGTAGTTCCCACGGATGACTGTAGGATGTGCTGAGAATAAAACATCTTAAAATAAGGGGAAGCTGGCCAGACAGCCCAAGCTCTAGTTCAGGGATATCCTGTAGCAGAGAAGGGTGTCCTTGCCAGTGCTTTATCCCAGAGAGTTGTTACCTCAGGATATAAAACTCAGGGCAGGCTGCTTTTCCAGGTACCTCAGAATCAGTATAAGCAGGACAAACATAGATGAGATTACATCTATGCCAGGAAGCTTTCTTGACCCTTTGCGGAATAGCTTGGAAGGAATCCCAGACTTTTGTTGTCCCTCTCTATTTATCTGTAAGTAATAAACCTGCCTCATGTAACTTGTGTGTTTGAGTCTTCTGTCTCGCCTGATTCAGACATGTTGGTAAGCAGAGCACAGTAAATCTGTTTCACAGGAAGGGTTAAATTTCCATATGCGTAGTACTGAAAAATATCAAGTTGAAAAAAGTAAATGAATTAAAATTACTCTACTTCCAAATAGACAGTGGTTGCCAGAAAGGAGTAGTGTAAAAATGTCAGGCTTTCTAAGGGCTTAGGCCAGCCTACTTTCTATATGAAAGTCTTTAAAGCACTACTTTGAATCTTAGACAATCTCATTTGAAACAAAACCTTCCAGAATATATGTATTTTACTGGGATTTTGGGATTATTATAAACTGGATTTTTAAAAGTTACTGTTAATAATTGATAGTTAAGTTTTGTTGTTAAAACATTTCAAACATTAACAGTCACTAAAAAGGCTCTGAACAGCAGTTGGATCTTAATTCTTTGGGTAAGAATTAAGCTGGAATTTTTTATGCCATATTGATTAAATTAAAAGTTGCCTTAAAACTGAGATTATTTTAAAGGTGGCATAATACTAAGAGTTTGATAATTACATTTGTCTAATTATTCTAAATTTTGGTTGAATAAAATTCTATTACTACATCCTTATTGCCACCCTCTTGTATTATTCTCTCCTCTGATATCATTTTTCTAAAATAGTTATAATTGTTCTAAAATAGTTATAATTCCCTCATTGTTCTTTTATTACTCTGCAAATACTCCAATCCATTCTCTCCCTCTGGTATATATATATATATGTATATATGTGTGTGTATATATATGTATATGTATATGTGCATATATATGTATATGTATATATGTGTGTATATATATGTGTGTATATGTATATGTGTGTATATATGTATATATGTATGTATATATGTATATATGTATATATGTATGTATGTATATGTATATATGTGTGTATATATCTGTATATGTATGCATATATGTATATATGTGTGTATATATGTATATACATCTATATATGCATATATATGTAGATGTATATATGTATGTATATGTATATGTGTATATGTATATGTGTGTATATATACATATATACACATATATATACATATATATGTATATATGTGTGTATATATACATATATACACACATATATACATATATATGTATATATGTGTGTATATATATAATAACACATATATATAGTAACATATCAAAGCAACATAAGCTGGGCCATAGAAACATACATATATATATACACACACACACACATATATATACACACACACATAGCAACATATATATATACACACATATATACACACACACATAGCAAAATATATATATACACACACATATATACACACACAGCAACATATATATATACACACACACATATATAGACACACACATAGCAACATATATATATACACACACATATATACACACACACACATGCTTCTAAAATGCCAGTTTTAGAAG
Source organism: Homo sapiens (assembly GCF_000001405.40). Taxonomy (NCBI): domain Eukaryota; kingdom Metazoa; phylum Chordata; class Mammalia; order Primates; family Hominidae; genus Homo; species Homo sapiens. The sequence goes on from NC_000005.10 coordinate 24,074,908, forward strand.
TTATGCTCTAAATTCCAATCTAATTTTACATTTTCATGCTTTAACTATCCATAGTCTAATGATGAAATTAAAAATGCTTGACTTGCCAGAAAATCCTTCCATGTCCTCCATTAAACTTCAGTAACGTTTTCTCTTGTGTGCTCCTTTAGTTCTATGTCTATTCTTCATGATACCATATTTTGGATTACCCAGAATAGCCTTAATCTGTCCCTGTTTTCCCAGATTCCTTTCTGGTTTTTACTATTTCTGAATTTGCTCCTTTTTAAATGAAGTATTACTTTGATATTTATATTAAAATAACCTATATGAGTTGGATAAACATTTACATTTTATTTAAAGAATCTTCTATGTATTCATCTAGTATTACCTGAAATGCATGCTTAAATGCTCAATAAACAGATTATATCTATAAAATGATCAGTGAGAATGCTTCTTTTTCTGATCCATTCTCTATTTTAGAAGCAACATAACTAACACTGCCTTTTCAAAGGCATTATGGAGGGCAATTCACTAATGCAAAATTTTTAGTCACAAATGATTAAGAATATCTAACTTTTTCCAGTAAGGGAGAATTTTCTATTTTGTTACTCACCATTTGTGTTGCTATGGCCCAGCTTATGTTGCTTTGGCTCATGACACATTAGAAAAGATCCAAGAAACCACTAAGCCGCTAGATGTCAGGGGCACTCAGAAATAAGCATGTGTATATATGTTGCTAAGTTGCTTTGATATATTACTCTGTGTGTGTGTGTGTGTGTGTGTGTGTATATATGCATATTTTTATATATATCTGCATGTGCAGAGAGAGAATGGATTGGAGTGAGTATATATTTACACCATTATAAATTTGGTGTAAATAGAGAACCATAGAAATTGGTGCCCCCTTTCCTTATCAAAATGTATTTATTGAAATTCTGACCCAAATGTGATGGTATTTGGAGGTTGGTCTTCTGGGACCTGGTTAGCAAATAAGAACAGAGCCCTCAGGGATGGGATTAGTACACTTATAATAGACAACTCAGAGGTCTATCTCATACTTTCCACCAGGAGACGACACAGGGAGAACTTGGCCATCTACATACAAGGAAGCATAACCTTACCAGACATCAAATCTGCCAAAGACTTGATCTTGAAATTCCCAGACCCTAGAACTTTGAGAAATAAATTTATGTTGTTTGTATATAAGTTACTACGTCTATGGTATTTTGTTATAGCAGCCAGAACTAAGTCAGAGTATATACAAAAAAAAAAAAAAAAAAGAAAAAGAAAGAAAGAAAGAAAGAAAGAAAGATAGAAAGAAAGAAAGAAAGAAAGAAAGAAAGAAAGAAAGAAAGAAAGAAAAAGAAAGAAAGAAAAATAAAGAAGGGGAGAATACAAATGCATGGTATCTGGAGAGCAGTGAAAAAGTTTTCTGTTTTTTTTTGTAATTGATAGGCATTATAACAATTGAATATTGCTGAGGATTTTTCAATGGTGATGAAATTTATAATGCAAAAGCATCTGCATCTATATGATTTCTGTAACAATGGTCTCTGGCAGATCACATGGATAAAATCTAGTGCACATAAAAAATGTTAGTGTTAGAAAATTTATTCATAATTTTGGAGATAAGGTGGAGTATATGGGTTCAGTTACAAGTGGATTGGTAGATAAGTTGATGGGAATCTTGTGGAAAGACTCTTCTTTTTTTTCCTATTTTGCAGTAGAAACAGTAAGAATAATTGATGATATATTTACCAAGCTGAAATAAAATTGAGACCCCACAATTGGTTTAAATTAATTGAAAGTTGTTCTTCTCTTATGCGTCAATTCAGAAATAGACAAATATACCAGAATAGGAAGGTGGTTCCACTTCCTTTTTCATTAACAGATCCTGGTTCCTTCTGTCTTGTTTCATATCTAGTTTTATCTACATTCTACTAGTTACATCATACTAGTTACATCATAACTAGTTTTATCTACATTCTTCAAATGAAATTTGGCTCCAAGCACTGCTCTACATTTATTTTCATGCCATGGGACAAGGAAAGAAGAAAAGAAGATGCTAGGGAAGCAAAAACATGTAAGCTGTACGCTGTAGATAAACAGATGTGTGTTCTGCTGGAATTTGATGAAAAGGAAGAAATTATTACTAAAAAAGTAGGGATATTAGACATTGGGAGAGAGTTAAGAGTTTCTGCCACCTAAGGTCTTGGATGGATTTAAAATGCACCTTTGAATGTATATCCTAAGGAACGTATAATCCAGTTCATATATATGCATGATATTGATATATTTACCAATGTGCCACCACAATAGTTGTAACCTAAGACATTGCAAGAGCAACATATTAGACTGGTGCAAACGTAACTGCAGCTTTTGATGGCAAAAGATGCAGTTACGTTTGCACCAACCTAAAAACTCATTAAATATATACTATATTATATTTATTTCACACTTAATGCACTTAGTGCTTTTGCTTTTATATTAAATATTTAGGTGTTGTTGTTTTGTTGTTGTTGTTGTTGTTGTTGTTGTTTTGAGAGGAAGTCTCACTCTTGTCGCCCAGGCTGGAGTGCAATGGCCCAATCTCAGCTCACTGAAACCTCCACCTCCCAGGTTCAAGCAATTCCCCTGCCTCAGCCTCCTGAGTGGCTGGGATTTCAGGCACCTGCCACCATGCCCGGCTAATTTTTGTATTTTTAGTAGAGACGGTGTTTCACCATGTTGGCTAGGCTGGTCACAAACTCCTGACCTCAGGAGATCTGCCCACCTCAGTCTCCCAAAGTGCTGGGATTACAGGCATGAGCCACTGCGCCTGGCCTAAATGTTTAGATTTTTAAAGATTTTGTTTTAGCAGAATGTCACTGCTGAACTATTAAATTGCATACCTTTTATTACATGTCAAAATTTCAATATTTTAAGATATAAAAGTGTTCTTACAAAACAGCCAGAAAAGAGTAAACATGGTATATTTGTCTATGAATTCATAATATGATTTGAAAGATAGATCTTATAACATTAATAGACATTAGCATATATTACAAACTGAATTGAGCACCACGCCCAAATCCATATGTTGAAGCCCTAATCCTGTGTATAGTTGACCATTGAACAACCCAGGGAGGCCTTAGAGGCACCAACCCCTACACAGCTGAAAATTTACACATAACTTTGGCTCCTTCAAAACTTAAATACTAGTAGCCCACTGTTTATTGGAAGCATTATCAGTACCATAAACAATTGATTAACACATATGTTGCATGTTACATATATTATATACTATATTTTTACAGTAAAGTAAACCACAGAAAAATGTCATTAAGAAAATCATAATGAAAAGAAAATATATTAACTATTGAGTAAGTAGAAGTGGATCATGATAAGGTCTTCATCCCTTTTACATTGAGTAGGCTGAGGAGGAGTAGGGAGAGGAGGGGTTGGTCTTGTCATCTTAGGAGTAGCAGAAGCAGAAGAAAATCCATACATAAGTGGACATGCACAGTTCAAATCTGTCGTGTTCAAAGATCAACTGTACTTCAAAATGTGACTATATTTGGAGCTAGGAAATTTAAAATGCTAATTAAATTAAAATGAGGCAATCAGGGTGGCCCTATCTGCGAATGTCCTTATAAACAGAGACTAGGACATGCAGAGGGCTACTAAGACTGTGTTGTATATACACAGAGACCCCTATGTGAAGAAGGAGCAAGATATCAACCATTTGCAAACCAAGAGAGGCCTAAGAGGAAACCAACACTTGGTACCTCGATTGTAGACTTCTAGACTCTAAAGCTGTGAGAAAATAAATCTGTGTTTTAAGCCACTTAGTCTGTGGTATTTCGTTAAGGAGGCCCTAACAAACTAATACACCAGACAAATTTTTGTTCTCTACAGGTATATGTGCTAAAATCACAGTTTACCTATTGACTATTTTCAGAAATGTTTACCGAAAAGGAGAGATAAGTAAAGTTAAATATTGCCACACATAAACCAAATATATTTGTCATGAAAATATAATCTGATAGACAATGTTCCATCTGTATTAACTATTCAGCTTTTCTAGTGAATAAACCATGATATAAAACCATATGAGGTCGACTGGGCGTGGTGGCTCATGCCTGTAATCCCAGTACTTTGGGAGGCCGAGGTGGGCGGATCACGAGGTCAAGAGATAGAGAGCATCCTGGCTAACATGGTGAAACCCTGTCTCTACTAAAAATAGAAAAATTAGCTGAATGTGGCGGCACGTGCCTGTAGTCCCAGCTACTCAGAAGGCTAAGGCAGGAGAATCACTTGAACACGGGAAGCAGAGAATGCAGTGTGCCAAGACAGCACCACTGCACTCCAGGCTAGGCGACAGAGCAAGACTCCATCTCCATCTGTCTATCTATCTATCTATCTATCTATCTATCTATCTGTCTGAGGTCTAATTATTTATTACTTAGTATTGATTTTCTCGGCCAGGCACGGTGGCTCACACTTGTAACCCCAGCACTTTGGGAGGCCGAGTTAAGCGGATCACCTGAGGTCAGCAGTTCGAGACCAGCCTGGCCAACATGGTGAAACCCTGTCTGTACTAAAAATACAAAAAATAGCCAGGTGTGGTGGCGTGCACCTGTAATCCCAGCTACCCAGGAGGCTGAGGCAGGAGAATTGCTGGAACCCAGGAGGCAGAGGCTGCAGTGAGCTGAGATTGCACCACCACACTCACCAGCCTGGGCAACAGAGCAAGACTCCATCTCTAAAGAAAAAAAATAGATAGATAGATAGACAGATAGATAGATAGATAGATAGATAGATAGATAGATAGATAGATTTTCTCAATTAAAACATAGTGTTAAAATTCCTATTTGTCTCTAGGATGAATCCTTAAAAAATGTATACAGAAAAGTAGAATTTACTTTTAAATGTTTCATGGAAATGTGAGTATTGAAATTATAATCTATATTTTTAAAATGTTATTGGGAAAACTATATTGGGAGGAAAATTATTCTTTTAGAATACAGAAAGACAGACTAGATTTTTATTTTCCATAATAACATTTTTTCCAGTATCCCGTTTTGAATTATCAGAATTCACATAAGTCATTTATTAACTTCCCACTTCTGTTGTAACAGATTACCACACACTTTTGTAGGACAAACAACAGAAATTTATTATCTTATGGTTCTGTAGTTCAGAAATACAAAATTATTCTCAATAGGCTAAAACCAATGTGCTGACAGATGTGAGGTATTTTTTGGCTCTAGAGGATAATTTGTCTTCTTCTTTTCTAGCTTAGACAAGCAACCTGCATCATTTGGCTCATGGCCATGCATCCGTCCAATCTCTACTTCTGTCATCACATTTATTTTTCTCCCTGTTTCTGTTGTCACATGTCCTTCTCTTCAAAGGGTCCTGTGCATGATTGAATATTCTTATATTTGCATACTTCTGAGGCATTAGCGAAAGACTAGCTTTCTTTCCAGAGCACATTTTACTGACAATAAATCTTTTACACTTAGTGTCTTTTGCAATCTGAATAGGCTTAATTTATTCCAACTCTTAAAACCTGGTTCCCTCTTGCTTAAGAGTTGTTTCATCAACGACTCTCTTTACTCTTGATGTTTTTTCTGTAAGCAGTAAGAAGAAACAAAACCACATTTTTGAATACTTCATGTGGAAGTCTCATCTAAATACCCAGATTCATTGCATAATAGTTCTGTTTTCCTCATATATTTAGGATGCAATTCAACTAAGTTTTCTGCTACCATATAACAAGAATCACCTTTCTTTCAGTTTTCAATGGCATGGACCTCATTTTCTTCCAACAATCTTATTTTGATGATTTAGATAATCTCAAAAAATTAAAGATAAAACTACTATATGATCCTGCAATCTCACTTCTGAGTATATATCTAAAAGAAATACAAGCACTATCTTAAATATATTTTTATATTCCCATGTTCATTGCAGCAATATTCACAATAGCCAAGACTTGTAAATAGCCTAAATATTTGTCAAAAGATGAGTAGATAAAGAAAATGTGGTGTATATTTGCACAATGGAAAATTATTCAGTCTTTAAAATGAAGGAAATCTTGCCCTTTGCAACAACATGAATGAAGCTCGAGGACATTACACGAAGTGAAATAGCCAAGCACAGAAAGACAGCTACTGCCAAAATAATCCACTTATACGTGGATTTTTTTTAGTTGAATTTAGTAGAGAGATAAAAATAGTAATCACCAGGGGCTGGCAACCATGTGAGGTGATGGATAGGTTAATTATTATGGTTATCAATTCACGCTGTATACATATGTCAAAAAAAGCATGTTTTATGGTCTAAATATATGCAACTTTTATTTGTCACTCATACATCTATGAAGCTAGAAAAATAAAATTAATATTTTTAAAGAGATACTCTGTAAAATGAAACAGAATTTTTGTTGTTCTTGTTTTTTTTTTTTTTATCCATGTCTCTCATTTCTACCTGAACCCTTGCCAATGGTGTCTTTTATATTTATATTTTCACCAATGGTCTGCTCAAGTAAACGAGTTTGATTTTGTTTCTATGATGGTAGACAAAATTATTCCATTCTCTACTCCTCACCGTAGTCTAAAGCCACCTCCATATGTTCAGGTATTTGTTACAGCAGTTTCCCATTCCAGGTACTAAAAACAGTATCAGTCAGGTCTCAACTAGAGAAACTGAATAAGTAGGAGATAAATATTAAGAGATTTACTGCAAAAGGTTCTCTGTTTTGTACACATGCCAAAAACGTAAGTGGAATGGGGATGTGGTGGTATCAACACTCTTGAGTCTTTCAAGCCCTTGATGGTAGTACTAATTTCTGCAGTCCCTCCAGGAATGCAGCATTGCTTTTGATTTACTTTTTTGCAGGGTAGAATCTGTTCTAATGGCTTTCACCTGGCCTTTCCCTCCATAATTGCCCTCACTTTACAGGTCAAGGAAACATGGGTATTTTGTTATTGCTGCATGTATCTATTTCAATTATTCATTCTAATATTGAGGAAATACCACAGAATAGGTTGAGGTGTCCACTGAATGCACTGTTAGCTGGACCTGAGCTAAAACTCCTCTGATCCCCTGACCTATACAATAGCCTTCTGTGACTTGTGGACCACAGAGGCTTTTCAAGTGTCCTGGAATTAGTATCATTACAGTGCCAGTGTTCAGAAATCTCCCAAAATTCTGATTATTTCCCTTCACAAGCTAAAATCATCCTGGTAAACTATCATATGTCCCTTTGGAGAATTTTATGAGAAATAGGATCACAAATACTTAGTGTTACAAGTTCCTTCCTAGAGGAGCCAGCCTCCCTTTCATTTAAAGGATTCTGGGTATGTAAACTGGCTCAAGTCTGAAAACTGATCGAGGGGCCATGTCTCTCTGTTTTGGTGATTCAAGTTAAGCTTCTGTTCATTCAACCTAGAACTATTGTGCTTATACAAATAAATTAAGAAATTAATGAACTGATTATTTATTATAGGAGCAATTAGCTATTTTAAAAAATATATCCCTATTTCCACACTGGCTTCTCCAAAAACTAAATATCTGATCACTTTTTGGTTTGTTTTATTTTGTTGTTTGTATTCTTATTGTTTCTCTCTCTCTCTCTCTCTTTTAAGGGAGACTTGACCCAGTGGGGTAGATTGCATAGCGGTAATCTACCCAGTGGGGTAGAATTTGGTTTTGCCAAAGAAAAGTTCTGGTCTCTGCACAGAAACCAGTTCAATTTTTACAAAATGGCAGTGGATTATCATGAACTCAACCGGGTCATGACTCTGACTGCATCTGCCTTTCTAGATTTGTTTCATTACTTGAACAAATTACACACACTCTGGTTTTGGTATGCCATTCATGATCTGGCTTTTATTTTTTTTTTCTTCTTGTAACTGTTTGTAAAGACCACCAGAGTCAGTTTTCTTTAAGCATTCAGGACTAACAATACATGTTAAGTCTCCTACCTTAAGAGTAATTGACTTGCAAGTTGTATAATTTAGTTCACAAGAAACTTGATTCCCTTCCCTTTCCACAGGGCATCATGCTGGTCTGTTATACTAATAAAATATGCTAATTGGATATAGTGAACTAGAAATAGCAACCACTCTAGTTATATTGGTAAGACATTTGTGTATCAAAGAATGTAAAATAAATTTTACTAAAATTCAGGGAATTTTCACCTGAGTGAAATATCTATGGGTCTAATAGTGGAAGGCATATCAAATATGATGGTTAATACTAAGTGTCTACTTGATTGGATTGAAGGATACAAAGTATTAATCCTGGGTGTCTGTGGGGGTGTTGCCAAAAGAGATCACTATTTGAGTCAGTGAGCTGGGGAAGGTAGACCCACCCTTAATCTGGTGGGCACTATCTAATCAGCTGCCAGCAAATATAAAGCAGGCAGAAAAATGTGAAAATGTGAGACTGCCCTAGCCTCCCAGCCTACATGTTTCTCCCGTGCTGCATGCTTCCTGTTCTCAAACATTGGATTGGACTCTAAGTTCTTCAGTTTTGAGACTCGGACTGGCTCTCCTTGCTCCTCAAGCTTGCAGACAGCCTATTGTGGGACCTTGTGATTGTGTAAGTTAACTCTTAATAAGCTCCCCTTTATATATATGTGAGTGTGTGTGTGTATATGTGTGTGTGTGTGTGTGTGTGTATCTTCTATTAGTTATGTCCCTCTAGAGAACCCTGACTAATACATCAAGAGATCTCTTCTAGGGCAAAGGATAATATATCGCATTTGACCTGAACTGCAATCAAATTAAAGACACACAGTCCACAGCTCATGGGCTTTTCTGGGTTTTGGAGGCAACATATTCCTCCTCTGGGTGTACTACTCTGCCCGTTTTCCTAGTGACTTGAAAAGGTGATAATTTGATGGAGGCCCAGGACATAAAAAGGCTGTCCAAAAAGTCTGCATTGCCATTTGCTATGCAAGCCATCTTCCACTTGATCCGTATTGATACAGCAGATCTGACTGTGATTGAAGTATCAGAGGCAAGTACACTGTTCTGGATCTTTGGCAGCCTTTTATAGGTGAATCAAGTGTAGACCTTTAGGATTTTGGAGAAAAATCCTCTCATTTAACAGATAATGATTCAAGAAACAGCTTTAGGCTTGCTACTGGAGCTTAGTAGAAACAAAACACTCAATTATGGGCCCCCAGTTACCATGTGTGCCTCCTTAGTACAGACATTTCAATTCTGAGATTTATTTAATAGAATAGAATGAGTTTTAAAAGCTCATGAAAATATATGATAGAAAGTTTTAATATTTCTTCTTTGAAAAAAAAATTAAGACCCCAAATCAGCAATTATGTGTTCTTGAGCTACAAAAAAAAAAAAAAAACAAATTTAAGAACAACATAATGTTTCAGCCAATTATTTAATCTAAATATAAGCTCAAATTAGCAGTTTAGCAAGCTCTTGATTATTTCCAGTTTTATATTCTGTATGTCCACATTTAGTAGTTTAATCAGTAGCCTCCCTTAAGGATATTACCATAAGAGATTATTTAGGCCCTTAATTGCACTTTAATGCCCCTCACTGAGTTGGCACCATTGAAGAAGGTTTAGAAGATTAATCATATCATATTTTTTCTTCTTAAAATAGTTTACTACAAAAACTGTATGCTAGCCATTTTCTTTCCTGTTTCAATTTCATTAGATTAGTATATCCCTCAGAGGCTATTAAAAACAAATAGGATCATTTTCTTTCAGTTAGGTAGTGTCTGTAATATCAGAATATCAGCAATCAGAACACCCAGCAATCAGATAATTGCAGACAATATTTTCCCTTCGTTAATTGGGAGAATGAACTATTGTGTAGCAAATAGAAATATAGTGTTAAACATTTTATCTCTGATATAGATTTGGTATCACCTTCAGTGAAAGGTTTATGGAAGCATCATAAGATAAATTAGCTTCTATTAAGCATTGTACACCCCTCAACCAAATGAAATAGTTTAAAAGTTTTGTCAAAGACTACATTGTACAGTGATTAACAATTATTAATGTGCTATTTATGGTAAAGTGTAATGGTCAAAATATTTAACCTAAGGTACAGTAAAATTTGGTGGTTTTGTTTTTGCTTTAAATTGGGTATTGACTTACCTATGGTACATAAAATATTTGTGTAATCAGACGTTATTGGATTTTTTACTTCTTTATTGCCTAAGTTTATTGTTCAATCAAAAAAACATATATTTTAGTGCCCTTGCTGACAGGAAGTAATTCCAAATCCTTCATGCTGAAATTCCTTTCATATTTTCTCCTACTTCCCTTACTGAAAGACAGAGGTGCTAGTCAGCAGTTTTTATATTTTCTCAATTTATTTTCTCTTTTCACTTTATCTAAGGTGAATCCCTATTATGCACTTTCACAAACTTTTGACTGTTCTGAATATACGAGAGAATTAGTCAGATAAACATTGCAAAGTTTTGTATGAGATAGATATTTTGAAATCTGCTGATTACTTTTAGTAATTTGATGTGAGAAGGCAATTAAAAATAGACTAAAAGAGATATGAAGAGTCTTTGTCTCACTGAGTAATATTTTAAACAATATCAAATACAAAGAAGATTAATTTAACTTCACAATATTTCAGTAAAGGAAGACTAAAGTTTCAAAATTATAAGTTTGCTTGCTTAACCATGTTTAAGTATGCTCTATAAAATTTAACTTTATGTTAAAATCTAATTGAGAAAGTAACATATTCTTTAAGAAATAAAATATTAGTTAGCCTCCTTCTCATCATTTATGTACGAAGAGACTTTTAAAGGTTTATTATGTTATCTGATAAATTGTGATTTATAGTCATCAAACAGGCAGCAGTCATTTATTGAGTACTGGAGAAGTGAAGGCATATATTGTCCCCATGGATATGGTCAATTAAGTGTTATAAAAACAACTGCAATAGCAAACTCTCAGTGATGTACCACCAAACAAAATCTTTATTTTTTCATATAATAATACAATATGTATCATCTGAGAGACTTATTTTTTATCATCCACCCAATTATTCAGTGACTCAAGCTTCATTGTTCTTTTTCTCTTATTTCTCCCATAAGCTTCCCTGTATCCCCTCAATTGGATTGGTAGGCCAAGGGAAGAGAGAAAACGTGGAGGATCTTGCAAGACGTTATTGTTAAATAGCCTAGAAATGGTTTAATCACTACCCTTTCCACTTATTTAGACAACATACATTCTCATGGCACACTTACCAGCGAGGAAGGCAGGGAAGTATAACTGGGAGAAGAAAAGCAAGAAAGATGGTTTTGGAGAATATATAGTGAAGCAAACGATTTGACAATCCCTGGTGTCACTGTAGATCTATTGACATTTCCGGAAGAAATAAACGAGAAAATGGAAAAGAAATGGTAGGAAGACAAACTGACAGAAAAACATAGAATACTCTTATGGTCTGCATGCACTGTATACTTACGATATCCCAGAATTCCTTCTAAGTATTTTTACTTATTAACTTCTGTAACACTCAAAATACCCTGTTAGTTAAGCACTATTTTCAACTCCATTTTACTAATGAGAAAATATATAAAGACTAGTGTTTTTTAAAGAGTTAAAATAATCTGTTCCTGATCACATAAAATTGTTGTTTGTAGAAATTAAATATTAAACCAGATTTCTCTTGATCACGTTTCCAGGCTCTACAATATATTTTTCCAGTGAAAAATCAAACAACCAGCATACTATACTGACAGAAATAATTGCAAAACAATTCTTTTTAGAAGCTAATTTAATATTCATATTAAGTTTTTTATGTAATAGAAAGCTTGTGAAAAACACTGGAATCAAATTATACTGATGTATTTAACACAGATATCCTTTAATGCAAGTAAAATTGGTTTAAATGCATTGAGATTAAATTGTTAAATCACATCAGAAAAAAATTTATATTTTCAATCCTATGTCATTATAAGTAGTAATATATACAAGGGTAAATCTGAACAGAAACTGTACAATTCCTCATTTGTATTTTTAACCATATTTATTCAGTTAGCATATCTTCTGTTAAACACTAAAATAGTTTAATACTATGGCAGATAGCAAGCTCACAGGAACTTTTTAAAAAGAAATTTATGGTCTGTGAGAAAGTAGTCAGATGGCTTTGCTGGGAAAATAACTGCTTGACTTGTAAGTCATTCAGTTGCTAACCACGTTTATAATCTTTTGAAATGTCAGCATTTGCTTTAAACTAGTGGGCTCCTTTTGTTCCTAACAAGTATAATTTTGAGACCCAGTGTCCCTCTTCTAAGGAAGAATGTAAAATTAATGATAACTCCTTTACTAATCCTGTGCTTCTCTTGTGGAAGATTTAGTGAGGAGGTGGAAGGAATGTAACAATATAGTTATAAATAAGACTACTTGATAACCAAGGCTTGCATGCAGTCTTTTAATTACTAGCCTAGCAGTGCTGGAAGACTTTTAGAATTTTAATTATTCTCAAATTATAAACCACATAGATTTCTTAAGATAGAGATTTGACTTTAAAACCCAAATCAAATTTTAACTGTTTCACAAAGTCATTGGCAAACAGTAAAGAAATGTCTACCTTTTTAAAAACCCTACACCTTTGGCCAATTTTGTCCTTGAGGCTATGAACTATTTCTTTTATGTATGTTTTAATTTAATTTCCTAATATTGATCTAAAAGAGAGAAAGAGGATTTTCTTTTTCTCTACTTTGGCATCCCTTCAATGGCTAGAACTGTGGAAGCACATTTTCGGTCATCTTAAGATACATATGCCAGCAATGTTCTAGTTCTTTACCTTGGTAATAATCTACTGGTGTTCATTTTTACACAGCCACCCAGAGGTACGAGCTACAATTCTCCCCATTGTCCCAGTGAAGCCACAGAGGCCCAGAGAGGCTAAGGAACTTGCCCAAATGGTCTCTCCAAATGAGGAAAGGACCCCCCATATGAGGAAAGAACCCCCAGCACAGCACAGCTGCTTTGCCACAGCATGGCCAGACTGCTTCTTTAAGTGGGACCCTGATCCATTCCTCCTTATTGGGTTGGTCCTTCCAGTTGTGGCCTCCAACCACCCTTGCCCTTATTCTATGGACAGAATTCTGATTTCTCCCTGGGACAGAGTACCCAGGGGGAGGGGCAGGCAGCCACCTTTGTTGTTTGGACAACTTAACTGTTCTAGCCTGTGGGCTTTGAAGAGTCCAAATGGTCTGGTTGAGAAGGAGACTCCCCCACCACAGTACAGCTGCTTTACCAAAACGTGGCCAGAATGCATCTTTATGCAGGACCCCAATCCATTCATTCCCACTGGGAAGGTCCTCCCACCCAGGCCTCTGGCCACTCCACCTGTAATCTATGGACAGAGTTCCTATTTCTTCCTGGGATGAAGGGACTGTGGGGTGGGCCACCATCTTTGCTGTTTGGGTGACTCAACCATTCCAGCCTGTGGGCTTTGGAGAATCCAAGCCGACTGGGCAGAGGCAGTTACCCACTATGACATGGCTGTTCTATTCTGTTCTATTGAGGCATGACCAAACTTCTACTTTAAGCGGGACCCTGACCCATTCCTTCTTACGTGGGAGAGGGGTTCTCCCAGCCAGAGCTTCTGGCCACCCCCATTCATATTTTATGGACAGAGTTCTGACTTGTCTATTGGAAAGAGTGTCATCAACTTTGTTGTTTGGGCATCTCAGCTGGTCCAGCCTGTAGGCCTTGGAGAGCCCAAACCAATCAGGGATTGAAAGGATCCCCAACATAGCACAACTGCTCTACCAAAATGCAGCACTACTCCTTCTTTAAGCAGGTCCCAGATCCCGTTCCTTCTGATTGGGTGAGACCTCCCGACCTGGGTCTCCAACCACCTCCTACAGTTGCATTTGAATTGGCAACAAGTCAGTATCCACCTGGGATGGAGCTCCCAGAGGAAAGGGCAGGCTGACATATTTGCTGTTTTGCAGCCTTAACTGGAGTGGACCACCAGCAAACTGCAACAGCCCTATGAAGAAGTGGCCAGGCTGTTAAAAACAAACAAACAAACAAACAAACAAACAAACAAAGAACACTAAAACCCAGGTTGTGTGACCACGAAAAGGTCAGCAACCTCAAAGATTGAAGATAAATAAGCAAATACACATGAAAAAAAATCAGCACAAAAACATTGAAAACTAAAAAGCCAGAGTGCCCTCTTTTCTCCAAATGACCACAACACCACTCCAGCAAGGGTTCATAACCTGGGTGAGGCTGAGATGGTTGCAATGACAGAAGTAGGCTTCAGAATATGGATAAAAATGAATTTTGCTGAGCTAAAGGAACATGCTGTAACTTAATAAAAAGAAGCTAAGAATTACGAATTATGAAACAATGAAGAAGCTGACAGTCAAAATAGCCAGTTCTGAGAGAAACCAACCTGACTGATAGAGCTGAAAAATAAACTGGTAAGACCTTTACATTGCAATTACAAGTGTTAATAGCAAAATAGACCAAGCAGAAGAATCTCAGAGCTGAAACACTTTCTGAAATAACATAGTTCCCAATAAGTTCCTTATCTCTATCTGAGACCACTTCAGCATGGACTTCATCATCCATATCACTGTCTTCATTCTGGTCAAAACCATTCAATACATCTCTAGGAAATTCAGAACTTTCCCACATCTTATCTTCTTCTAAGCCCTGCCAACTGTTCCAACCTTTGCCCCTTTCCCAGTCCCAAAGTCACTTACACATTTTCAGGCATCTTTATAGCAGTACCCTACTTCTCTGGGGACCAACTTTTTTTTAGTCTATTTTCATACTGCTATCAAGAACTACGTGAGGATGGACAATTTATAAAGAAAAGAGGTTTAATTGACTGTTCTGCATGGCTGGGAAGGCCTCAGGAAACTTACAATCATGGCAGAAGGTAAAGGGAAAGTAGTTAGACTTACATGGTGACAGAAAAGAGAGAGAGTGAGAGGGGAAAATGCCAAACAATTTCAAACCATCAGATCTCATGAGAACTCACTCACTATCACAAGAACAGCATGGAGGAAACCACCCCCGCGATCCAATCACCTCCCATCAGGTCCTTTGTTCAACACATGGGGATTACAATTCAAGATGAGATTTGGATGAGGACACAGAACCAAACCATATTATAAGCAATGGAGAAATAAGATTCTTTTTAGATGAGCAAATGCAGGGGGAATTCATTACCACCATACCCGCATTACAAGAGCCCTTGAAGGAAGCACTAAATATGGAAAGAAAAAACTTTTACCAGCCACTACAAAAACACACCAAAGTACACAGATCAGTGACACTATGAAGCAACCACATCAACCGGTCTGTAAAATAAACAGCTAGCATCATGACAGGATCAAATTCACATATAACAACACTAACCTGAAATGTGAATGGGCTAAATACCCCAATTAAAACACACAGAGTGGCAAGCTAGATAAAAAACAAGACCCAGAGGTGTGCTATGCTCAAGAGTTCCAGCTCACATGCAAAGACACACCACAGGCTCAAAATAAAGCGATGGAGGAACATTTATCAAGCAAATGAAAAACAGAAAAAAGCAGGAGTTGCAATCCTAGTTTCTGACAAAACAGACTTTAAACCCCCAAAATCAAAAAAGACAATAAAAGGGCATTACATAATGATAAAGCTTTCCAGAATCTATGCAGAACTTAAACAAATTTAAAAGAAAAAAAGAAACTTTAAAAAGTGGGCAAAGGACATGAACAGACACTTCTCAAAAGAAGGTATACATGCAGCCAACAAATATGAAAGAAAGCTCGATATCACTAATCACAGAGAAGTGCAAATCAAAACCACGATGAGATACCATTTCACGCTAGTTAGAATGGCTATTAATAAAAAGTCAAAAAACAGCAGATGTTGGTGAGGTTGTGGAGAAAAAGGAATGCTTTTACACTGTTGGTGGGAATGTAAATTTGTTCAACCATTGTGGAAGACAGTGTGGTAATTCCTCAAAGACCTACAGGCAGAAATACCACTTCACCCAGCAATCCCATAACTGGGTATATACCGAAAGGAATATAAATCCTTCTATTATATGGACACATGTATGTTCATTGCAGCCCTATTTACAATAACAAAGATGTGGATTCAACCTAAATGCCCATCATTGATAGTCTGGATAAAGAAAATATGGCACAAATACACCAGGGAATACTATACAGCCATAAAAATGAACAAGATCATATTCTTTGCAGGGACATAGATGGAGCTGGAGGCTAGCATCTTTTGCAAACTAATGCAGGAACAGAAAACCAAATACTACATATTCTCACTTATAAGTGGGAGCTTGTGTTACAAGTGGGAATGTGTGTTGTTCTCCCCCAACCATCCATGTGTCCTTACCACGTGTGCAGGGTATGCAGATTTATTACATAGGTAAATGTGTGCCATAGTGGTTTGCTGCACAGATCATCCCATCACCCAGGGATTAAGCAAAGCATTCACTAGATGTTCTTCCTGACCCTCTCCCCTCCTCCTAAACCCTGCCCTCCAACAGGCCCAAGTGTGTGTTGTTCTCCCCCAAGCATCCATGAGATAGAACTTATAAGATAGATGAACCATTATTGTCACCCCCATTTTCCACATAAGAAAACTGAGGCAGGCCGGGCGCGGTGGCTCACGCCTGTAATCCCAGCACTTTGGGAGGCCGAGGCGGGCGGATCACGAGGTCAGGAGATCGAGACCATCCCGGCTAAAACGGTGAAACCCCGTCTCTACTAAAAATACAAAAAATTAGCCGGGCGTAGTGGCGGGCGCCTGTAGTCCCAGCTACTTGGGAGGCTGAGGCAGGAGAATGGCGTGAACCCGGGAGGCGGAGCTTGCAGTGAGCCGAGATTGCGCCACTGCACTCCAGCCTGGGCGACAGAGCGAGACTCCGTCTCAAAAAAAAAAAAAAAAAAAAAAAAAAAAAAAGAAAACTGAGGCATAGGGAGATTAAGTAACTTATTCAAATTTATATTTCTAGTAAGTGACAGAGTGGAGATTTGAACCCATGACATCTGGCTCTGGATCACTATGAGTAATATCTCAAGGGGCAGCTTAAATTCTCACTCACCTAGTATTTTATCAAGTGACATATGAAATAAAGAAATATAAGTATATAATTTATTAATATCAGAAATCTTGGCCCTAAATTTCTATTTTAAATGTAGGATTTAGAACCTTTAATAATTGTAAATGTCAAATAATGTTAGTTATACTTTATTAAAATAAGAATTGGCATACTTATCTTTATTATTTTTCATATGTATTTTTCTTGCTTCATCTTCTTTTGTTTAACTCCACATGTGTATGTGGTTAATACAACAAAAGGTTATGCTTTGTCAAGAGCGAACTAGTCAGTCAAATAAATTAGAATCAGATTGTAAAAATAGAAAATCTGCTAAAACCACCACTTCCAGAAAGGCCACATTTAAGATCATAAAAATCAACAATGTGATAAAACACATAACAATTTTAATTAAATATAGCATATAGTTGAGGTCATTACATAATCAGAATTAATTTGCCATTTTATAGCCATAAATATTTCTCCTCATTAAATCTTTGTAAATAGATTAAACATAAAACATTAATCAAAGGAAAAAATTAGAAGACGTTATAAAAAGTGTTTTTGTTATTTGAAGTAGCAATTTTTATTAGTCAATATTGGAAAGTTTAAATTACCATTCAGACTTACCACTTGTTTCTTAGGATGCAAACACTCCACTAACTTATCTTTTCATCTTTTAACAAGCCTGTGATTACTCCTCTATCTCTCTTATCAAAACGAGGCCGTTTCAGATATTTTACACATTCTCTGCAATATTTACTAAAATCTCTCATTTTATTCTATTTGAATTAGAAATTATTTAGCTCAAAAACATGTCTGTCACTCATAACTATATAGTGGGCCACATTTTTTTTTTGTTTTTATTTTCTTGCCCCTGGGTGGTCAATTCATATCCACACTGTCCTTTGCTTCACCCAGGGCATCCACTCTGCCCTACAATATTTAATTTGCTGCTTCTTAATGCCCCCACTCTTAAACAAAATGGTAATGTGGCGTTAAGTAGAAAAATGTGCCTTTCCTCAAAGCAGTTGAGTGAGTTTTGCAAGGAAATGTTTCTAATACCTATACTTACCTATGATGACTCAATGGAAATGGCATACTCCGAAGCTGCAAAAAGCTGCAAATGCACACACATACCTACATGCACTAGCCCCATGGATTTCCTTGCTATGGTTTGGATATGGTTTGTTTGGTCCTACCAAGTTTCATATTGGTATTTGTTCCCCAGTGCTGGAGGTGAGGCCTGGTGGGAGTTGCTTGAGTCACAGGGGGAAGATATGTCATGAATCGTTGGTGCCATTCCCAAGAGTGAGTGAGCTCTCACTCTTAAGTTCCAAAGAGAACTTATGATTGAAAAGAGCCTCACACTGCCCCTTCTCCTGTCATATGACCTGCACAAACTGGCTTCCCTTCTTCTGCCATGAGTGAAAGCAGCCTGAAGTCCACCTCAGAAGCAGATGCTGAGGCCATGCTTTGTGTTCAGCCTCTGGAAACATGAGACAAATAAACGTCTTTTCTTTATAAATTACCCATCCTCGGGTATTTATTTATAGCAACCCAAATGAACTGAGCTCTGAATTCCCTGTTTAGCTGTTGCATCACTCCCACAGTCAATTTTGTCATGTCTACCCCCGTCTCTTCCTTTATTCTCGTTAGATATTGTGGAGCTTAGCTTTCAAAGATGTCAGGTTTTACAATTGTATTTTCTTTAAAAGCTCTATCCAGTATCAGAAGAAGAGCTAGTTATCCATTGCCTGTCTAAAGTCTTTACTGTAAGAAATGATTTATGTTTTCTGTCTCTCATAAGACATCCCACAGTCTCTCTCTTTTTAGTATCTTCAACAATCAGTCAATCAGTCTCAAATATTCTGATGGCTCTTTTTTTTTTTTTTTAGCTTCAAGCATATTCAAGTCATTCCTTTGCTATAACAAATCTTTTAAAGTAAAAATATATATATATATATAAATAATCATACAATTCTGACTTCTCCCACAATAAAAATGCTATTTTTTTTATTTTTCGTATTTCTAAGCTCTGTGTTCTGTCTCTACAACCACAATTTACTCACCATGTATAACCACCACTCAGTTTCTAATTTAGCATGAAAAAAAAAGGAAACCTGAATGAATAGCCAAATTAGGAGGCTATAACCTCTGAATTGTTGGAGTGTATTAGGGTTCTCTAGAGGGACAGAAATAATATGATAGATGTATATATAAAGAGCAGTTTATTAAAGTGTAGTGACTCACAGGATCACAACGTGAAGTCCCACAATAGACCACGTGCAAGCTAAGGAACAAGAAAGCCAATCTGAGTCCCAAACCTCAAAAGTAGGGAAGCCAACAGATCAGACTTCAGTCTGTGGTCAAAGGTCCCAAAGCTGAAGAATTTGGAGTCCGATGTTTGAAGGCAGGAAGCATCCAGCACAGCAGAACGATGTAGGCTGGAAGACTCAGCCAGTCTAGGCAGTCCACATTCTTCTGCCTGCTTTTGTTCTGGCCACGCTGTCAGCTGATTAAATTGTGCCCACCTGGATTGAGGGCGGGTCTGCCTTTCCCGGTCCATTGACTTAAATGTTAATCTCTTTTCGCTACACCCTCACAGACACACCCAGAAACAATACTTTGCCTGCTTTAATCCAATCAAGTTGACAGTCAATATTAACCATCACATGGTGTATTACTTGGAGAAATACTGCAGTTTGTATTCTAAGGAGTGCTTATCTTGCTGACCTTAAAGATTATACCAGAAAATTGGTTTAAGTATATGTTTAATACACAGATTATTTATAGAAAAATAATTGAATGAGTAAGTAGTTTTTATTTAATTAATTATGGTATTCCTTACTTCTTATTTCCTGTAGTTATTTTTTTCCTCATGGATAATATATGATCATGGTTTTTTCTGGATCTCTATTGTGCTTTTTCTCTTCCCTTATGGCAATGCTAATTTTCTAACCATATTTAAATATCTTGACATTTTCTCTTATATTTTTCCATATTGCTGGCATATGAACTATGTTTGGATTATATTTTTGTTGCCCATGGAACACTGAATATAGTAGGCACTCAATATTTGTATACCTTTTTTTTTAATAAATTAATGATGGCAAAGTGTTACACTAATTCTTTTTTTTTTTTTTTTTTTTTTTTTTGAGATGGAGTTTCGCTCTTGTTGCCCAGGCTGGAGTGCAATGGCGCGATCTCTGCTCACTGCAACCTCACCTCCCAGGTTCAAGCGATTCTCCTGCCTCAGCCTCCAGAGTAGCTGGGATTACAGGCATGTGCCACCATACCTGGCTAATTTTTTGTATTTTTAGTAGAGACGGGGTTTCTCCATGTTGGTCAGGCTGGTCTTGAACTCCCAACCGTAGGTGATGCTCCTGCCTTGGCATCCCAAAGTGCTGGGATTATAGGTGTGAGCCACTGCGCCCGGCCTATTTCTTTAAATAGATGAAAGAGACAGCTTTTCATATGCACAGGCTTAGAGTACGTACAAGTCATGAAAGCTTACTGTTTTCCATATAAATATTTGATTATTTAACTGTCAGAGAAATCACTGAAATGTTATAATATTTTGTTTAAGACCTTTTGTTAAGTAATTGAAACAGTAGGTTTATGAGACAAAGTTTTATATGGTGTATTAGTCTGTTTTCACACTGCTAATAAAGACATACTCAAGACTGGGCAATTCACAAAAGAAAGAGGATTGATGGATTCCCAGTTCCACATGGCTCACAATCATGGCGGAAGGTGAAAGGCACATTTCACATGGTGGCAGAAAGAGCAGAATGAGAGCCAAGCAAATGGGGTTTCCCCCTTATAAAACCATCAGATCTCATAAGACTTATTCATTACCACAAGAACTGTATGGGGGAAACTGCCCCCGTAGTTCAGTTGTCTCCCACTGGGTCCCTCCCACAACATGAGGAAATTATGGAAGCTACAATTCAAGATGAGATTTGGGTGGGGACACAGCCAAACCATATCATGTGGTAAAACGTTTCTTCATATGTTTGCTCAGTATCTGACGTAAATTGCAAACTGATAATAAAATTGAAAAAATGGAAAATGTCTCCATATCTAAGCCCCAGTTCCTATGACTATATTATACTAAATGGAAATGTAGATCTCTATTTATCAAATGATATGGAAGAAATAACACAGCTTCTCAGTTGTTACTTTTTTATATTAACTCATTTGTCTTCCTATCCTTAGAAAGCTGTCAAGTTAATGTAAAAAGGACACTATATAACTAAGTATAGAAAATTTTAATAACAGAAAAATTAGGAGCAAAATTAGCTGCATATTGACATTTGCAGCTGCATATGTATTTAATACATATACATTAATATGCAGACAGCTGCATATTGTATTTAAAATACATAGTATATAACATCTGGTTCCAGCAAACATTCTCATTATTGAATTCAAATATGGCAGTTATGTGTGAGGTTCTTCATCCCTAACTCCCTCATCTCTCTGATGGGAATAAGTGTCAAGACTGTCTGAGAATGTGTATTTTAATAAACTATACATGTGATTAATATACTGACTGAATTTTGAAATCGAATTTATTAAAATACAATTTACGTGCAATAAAATGCACACATTTTTGTTCTATAGTTCACCAGTTGATGGACATTAAGGTTATTAGATTTGAAATTATGATGAATAGAGCTTTTATGAATATCAGTATACAGCATTTTGTTTAGATATTACTTTTATTTCTTTTGTATAAATACCTACCTCAAAATAATTATGTTTTATTGTAACACCACCTGCAACATATGAAAGTTCCAGTTGTTCAATACCCTTGCCAACACTTGAAGTAGACTAATTTATGGGCTTTTTAGTACATGCATATTCATATTTTTTTGTGCTTTAAATTTGAATTCAATGAAGACAAATACTGTTGAGCATCTATTTGTGTGCTTTATTATCTATCTACGCAACTCCTTTTGAAAAGATTTTCTTCCTTTTTTTATTTTATGGAAGAATTGGTATAAAAATAGTATTATTTCTTCCTTAAATGTTTGATAGAATTCACCACTGAAGCTATTTGAGCCTGAAGTTTTCCTTGGAAGGCTTCTAATTATAAATTCAATTTATTAATGAATTTCAAATTTTTCCTTTTTTTCCTTGGGTGAATCTTGCTCAATTTTGTCTTTCAAGGAATTGTCATCTTATCAAAGCATTCAAATTTATTAACATGAAGTTCTTCATAATACTCCAGTAATTTTATTTGAATACCAGTATCATTGGTACTATTTATTTCTTCATTCTTCATATTAATAATTATTCTTGTTTCTTTTTCTTTTCTTTCCTTTAGTTATTATTTCTTGTATTATTATCAATCTAGCTAGAGCTTAGTCAATTTTATTGATCTTTTCAAATAACTAACTTTGGTTCCATTTGTTTTCTACCATTTTGTTTTTTCTGTTTTCTTTCACTCATTTCTCCCCCTATATTTCATATGCCCTTCCTTCACACTTCTGAGATTCTCAGTACACTAATATTAGACTGCTCGAAAGTTCACATATATCACTGACTCTCTATTCATTATTTTTCTGCTTTTCTTCTCTGCAAATCAAGTAGAATAGTTTCTCTTGGCTTGTCTTCAATTTAACTGATCTTTTATTCTACAGTATCTAATCTACTATTTAAAACATCTGGTAAAATTGTATTTTTGATATTGAATACCTATTTTACCTGCCAGAGACCAATTTTGTCATTTTTTAATAGTGTTCATTTCTCTTATTACTGTGTTTACATTTTTCTTTTCAATTTCAAAACGTAGTTGTAATAGCTCTTTTAAAGTTCTTGTCTGCTAATTCATCATCTTGTTTATTTCTGTTTCTATAGATTAATTTATTTTCAACTATGTGCCACATTTTTTATTGTTACATTTATTTGTTAAATTTTGTTTTCTTCTTTTTAACAGTACTGATTTTCTTCTGTTGGGCAGGTATTTTACTTTCAGATTAAGTAAATTTATATAGGACCATCTCAGGCTTTACTCTAAGGCTCATTTAAGCTGTATTCCTAAGGAGTGGGTGGTCTTTCTAAGATATCTACTAAATTCCCAGGGTTCAAGAAAGTCAATATGCTTTGATATTTGGATATTGGACTTCCCCTCCATTTGGTAAGCTGAAGTCATTTTTTAACTTTAAGCTACTTTGAAGTTCTTTCATTCTCTGGTAGTTGTTCTTTACCCAGATTTGTGAAGTCTCAGCCCATGCATGAGAACTTATTACAGGAGGTCTTCAAATAATATCATTTTGTTCAATGTCATTTTGTTTAAATGATGAGAAAAAATTGATTTCTGGCCATGGAGTTTGCATGTTTTTGTGAAGTTAGCATGTTCTCCCCATGTTTGTGTGGGTTGTCTCTGACCACACAGGTTTCCTCCCAGATCTTAGCGATGCGCTTGTTAGGTCAATTTGTGTGTCTAAATTGATATTTTTGTGACCAGAAATATTCTGTAGGAACTTAACTCCTGTTTGGGTCAATTAGCCTATGGTAAAATTGGTTTAATTATGTGTCATTTTGCTTAAAGTTGAAGTTTCCAGGAACCTATTGAGGACATTAACTCAGGATTTACTATATTCAGTAAAGAAAGCAAGTGGTTCCTTACAGAGATTTCCAAAGCTCTTTTTCTACATAGGCACCTCCTCTCAGCTATTATGCTGATTAAATTCTGTCTTAGTTCCCCCATGTACTGATCTCTGTCTCCAAACCAGCATGCTCTATTTGGATTTCCTCTTCTAAAATCAGTAAGTGCCTCTAGTTGGGTTTCACGGTGCTGTGTGTCCTATTGTCTGATGTCTGCAAACAGTCATTTCTTACATCTTGCCAAGTTTTCTAGTCATTTACTTTGAGAAGGCTATTCCAGTACCATCATCCCAATCACAGCTGAAATAAGAAGGCCCTTACTCACTAAACTTTGAGAACTCCTCTTTATTAATACTAAAAAAGAAAAAAAAAGTCCAGTAATGTATTCAGCAAGCTTATCATCCTTCCCAAGTATTCTGTCTTTGAAATCACATTTAATACTCGACCACACTTTCTCTTTTATCATAGACTTTCTCTTTTTACTTGATGTAATTTATCAGAAGGTATACTGCAGACCCAGGATGAATAGTATTTTGAATTCCTCTTCTGACCCCACAATCTTTAATATTCCAATCCATTATAAATTCAATTTCTAGATATATTATTCTTAGATATATTTGGATTTTCTTGTCAAAGCTTTAGATGATTTCACATTTCCATTTCTTACTTCTACAAATTACATTTCTCTCTCTAACAGTTAATGCTATATAAATGTGAACTCCTATTTCTTTAAGCTTATGTTTCTCTCATCACAACATATTTTCTTTGTCAAAAAGAATCACCACAATATTTATGTGGTACATATATCATATATGACTTTATTGTTTTGGTTTTCTTATTTAACTGCTATTTTCCTTTAAATCTGGGTTTACCAGATAAAATAGAAGATGATCAGTTATGTTTAAAGTTCAGATAAACAGTGGTTAACTTTTAGTAGAAATATATACCAAATATTGCATGAGGCATATTTACACTAATACATTATCCATTGTTTATCTGAAATTCAAATTCAACTAGGCATCTTGGGTTTGTTGCTTGTTTTGCTAAATACACAAACTACATTTAAATTGCTACCTATTTTTAAGTCTAGACTTAAATGATGTATTCTATAAACATTTCCATTTCTTCACTAGTAGTCGCTTATTCATATTCTCTGAATGTTAACCTACATTCTGTAAAATAGGATTTTATAATTAATTATGTATAAAATACATACACATATTACATTAAATAAATGAACTTTAATTGCATTAATTTCCCACCTAAAGGTAGATATGTTATCTTATTTATAATTCTTCCAGCAATTGTAATATAAATCTTAACCATCACCAATTGCTTATGAAGATTATTACAGTTTGCTAACATTTTATGTTAAATATTTATTTTAATTTTATTTCAAATGAATACTTTTCAGAAGGGATATTGACGATGATTTGTTGCTTCAGATTTAAAGAAGTAATAAATGTCACACATAGACAAAATATGAAAACAGAATGCAAGAGACCTCATGCCCCTTACTTAGTCCCTTTCCAACTCCTTCTTTCTGTATACTTTATTTTCTCCTTTAATTCCCATTCTCTTTCATAATAATTTAATTTGTGGCTTTATTTTTTTCTCCTGAGCTGCTAATAAAAATTAATTATTTTCCTCCTATCTTTTGTAACTTCAGTCTATTCTTTTATAATCAGTGGCATCTATCTGAAAGCATACCTGATTATTTCAGTATGCTGACTATAATTTCAGTGATGTACACTGTCTTCATGAGAGCTTTAATCAACTTAGCATCATATACTGTCACCTGCCTCTCCAGCCACACGTTCCATTATTCCTTGCCTTATGGTGTAGCTTTTGTAAAAGATTACTCAGATTACATGTTGTGCCAAGATTCCATGACTTTTATCTTGCTCTTTCCTGTCAAGAAGGCTTTTCCTTCATTTATACTCATTGTTAATCTCCATTATTCTTTTAAGCCTCTGTTCAGAATGACTCTCCTCTACTCACCCTGAATGTCCAGGCTCTCGCTGATGTCCATTCATCTGTGTTCACATATCATCCTGTAAATAAGTCTTTATTAATATTTTTGAAGTATACAGAATACCTGCTTTAATTTTTGTTTTCTTTAGTTCAATCAATATTTTTCAAAGACAGGGGACTGACTTATCTTTATATTTAAATAACCTAGGAACTGATCTGATGTCAGCGCTGCATTAAGAACATCTTTGCATAAAAGAATTTATGTCAAAGTATGAGAATAAAGAGAAAGAGTGAAGTTTGTGTTTCACAGAGTTTTATAAACATAAAACATATACTTTAGTCACTTTGAAAGAAAACAGTAACAGAAAATAATACTGTAGGTTGAATAATAAACTCATAGGAATTACAGGGATGAACACAATTTTATTGTTTATAAGCAAGATGTAAAATACATTAGAATAAAATATGTCAATAAGTCACTTAAGTTCAGGCAGTCCTTGAGAATCTCCTTTACATATTTCTTAAAATTATCTATTAAGATTTGGATTCACAAAAAAAGAATAAAATTCATATCATATTTTCTTTCATAAAATCTGAAATAGAATAATTACATTTTGAAATATAAAATTGTAGTTTCAAAAGAAATGGATATATTTTGTTAATATAATTACTCTTCCTAATGAGATATCCTTTCCTCATAAATGATCAAACCCATAAATTAGAATAAAAGATCTCACCGGGTGCGGTGGCTCATGCCTGTAATCTCAGCACTTTGGGAGGCTGAAGCGTGTTGATTACCTGAGGTCAGGAGATTGAGACCAGCCTGACCAACATGGGGAAACCCCGTCTTTACTAAAAATGCAAAAATTAGACGGGCATGGTGGCACATGCCTGTAGTCCCAGCTACTCAGGAGGCTGATGCAGGAGAATTGCTTGAACCCAGGGAGCAGAGGCTGCAGTGAGCCGAGATCGCGCCACTGCACTCCAGCCTAGGCGACAGAGTGAGATTCCGTCTCAAAACAAAAACAAAAACAAAAAGAATAAAAGATCTCAATGATCTTAAGAGATCTTCAGGTTACTAATCTTAGCTTGGTTATTATTAAAGTATTTATTCTTTATATGCCAACTTAGAGCTTCTAGAAACCTCAACGTATATGCAGATATAGCTTCCAAATTTACCAAAATTATAAAGATTTTAAAAATATGTCAAATTTAAAAATTGTGTCCTAGAGGTGTAAAAAAGAAATTATAGTTTTTATCTTGACAAAAAAAATATTCTTAGGGCACATATATTGAATTCAACTGCTATACCAGATATCTTCAGCTATTATTTCATTCATCACATAACAGCAAACCAAATCACTTTTACAGAGGAGAAAATCGGGTGGCAAAGCTTAATCTAAAGTCACACTGCTTATGATTGGAAAGAGCTGAATTTGAATGCAGTTTTATCTAGTGTCAAAGACAAGCTGATGCTCTTCACGTAGCACCTTGCTGAACCCCATGCATCGTGTTCTAAAAGAGAAACACCAGTGAGTTTCTTGCTGGGCATGTAGATAAGTTTTGGATCTTTAAGTTCAAAATGATGTTAACTAGACTTTTTCTCCTACCTGTTAGTATCATTTCAAACTCTTTCTGAATATTCTTTAATGCTGTTTCAGCATTTATCTTTTATATAAAGAAATCTTTTTGCCCAAACTTTATTACCATTTAGAATAATCAAATCAGGGAAATAAATGTTGTTTATATCACTTAGGCCTCCATTATGATGAATTCCCATCAGCAGTTTTCAGAAGCTATCTTCATTTACTCTTCCAAGTGCTTTGAAATCCTCTAAAATGATCATTTATTTCCCTAGTCACTAACAGTAATCTAGGCAATGTGTCTTTCCCAACTGCCAATAATACTGATTTATATGTTCTGTTTGAAATTTTCATGTTACAATCAAATGGTAATTTTATTTCCCTGCTCAGTTACTTGCTGAAAATTAATAGAATTTGTTTACACTTCGCCCTGTAGAACAATATGTACTTCAGGCAAAAGTGTATTGTAAAGGAGAAAACATATTTTTTTTACAGCCCTGTATACAGCCAGAATCAGTTTGTGAGTCTAATATTATCACTGTAACCTGAAAATAAATCAGACTTATTAGTGTGGAAACAAGACCTGTTAATATGACAAATGTATAGTATATGTACATGTCCAGGGTTTTATTTTGTTTTTAAATATCAAACTCTGTGTCTATAACAAATAATCAAAATGTTACAATTACCTTGCTGTAGCATGTTTGAATCAATACATGAGGCCTGAAAGAAATGCAGAAATGCCACATTTATTACTACTATGAATATTGTATATTATTGCCAGTACTTACACAGAAGTGCTTCCCACAAGGAAGTTTACAAATGCAGAAATAATTTGATGAGAAAGAAGTTACTCAAAATAATTTCCAAATGCAGTCAAGTTTAATGTGACAGAAAATGTGATTAATGTTAATGCTAGCAGAGAGAGATCCTCATGGCAATTCAGTTAAATGTTACTATTTCCATTCTCCAACAGTGGAAAATGTGTGAGGTAGAAAAGGCGTATAGTTCTTCAAATATCAGATAGTGAATGTTTCAGTAACATAAATAAAATATTTCTCTTTTAGTGGGGAATTAGTTCAAAAACATGGAAAATGAATTAGATTTTCAGTTATTAATTGCATTTTATAGAATACAATTGTGACATCAAGTATACAAAAATCCAAGGGACACATATAACTATCAAACTTATTTCTGTGTTGGCTAATTTATACTATTCATTTTTTTCCAAGGACTTCAAGAGTTCATTAAGCCACGCTGAAAAGTTTACTTTCCAAAAATACAACATAACCCCCTAAGACTCCAAAATGATGTAAAATTTATTTATTTTTCTGTTATAGCATAGCTGAAACAGTGTGCATTTGCAATCACAGAATGAGTAATTGGAAAGATTTAGAGGTCACCAAAAGCAAGTTACCTTCCATCCCTCCCTTTTTGTCATTTAACCAGGCGAAAGACTCCTTGTACCTCGCAACAGAATGCCTCTGGGCATGTACTATATTGGATTTTATGTCAGGTCATGCAGGGCTGGTAATGAACTCTGAGCAGTACACTCCGAACATAACAGATAATGTAGCTTTGAATCATTAAATTAGTTTTCTGTCATCTAAGCCCATACTAAATGACACTTGTTTTCTCAAAGTCTATAAATGATTGATGGTCTGATATTTTAAAATACTCAGAAGGCATTCTTAACTGTAACTCCTCTAGCTGACTGCATGTGTTAGAAATAACACATTTATCTCTATCTCTCTCAATAAACAGTGAACATATGTCATTAGAAAATTACTTGTCATATATGTATGTTAGAACACTGAATTTGTTTGAGAACCTCACTGCTATGTAAAAGGCTAGTATTTATTCTAAGTACTAAATATGAATACTTATACTGTACTTATTTTGTATTATAGCTGTATCAAAAAGTCTAAGAAACTCTAAATTTTTATTATGAAATAATTTCACATATACAGAGAAATATAAATAATACTGTGGGAAGCATTACAGTATACCTAACAAACACCTACATTTAATGATTGTTCAATTTTTGCTATATTTGCTTTATTTACTTACACAAAAAATCAAATATTGAAAAGCTAAAATATTTACAATTATTTACAGCTATTATAACATTTTACTTCTCAGGTCTTTAACAAATATGCTCAAATCATAGAGAAAATTTTTTTCATTTAACGACAATTCAATTATCATGCTAACAAAATCAGCAATAATTCTTAATATTATCTGCAATGCATTCCATTTCTTATTTTCTCAACTTTTTCCCAAAATGCCATTTGCTTCCCCCCAAACAAAAAACCTTATGTTGATCTCCACAAATGCAGCAAAAGCATTTTATTTGTTCTCACACTGCTATAAAGAACTACCAGAGACTGGATAATTTATAAAGAAAAAAGGTTTAATTGGTTCATAGTTCTGTAGGCCCTACAGGAAGCATGGCTGGGAAGACCTCAGGAAACTTACAATCATGACAAAAGGCAAAGGGGATGCAGACATATCTTTCATGTCTGAAGCAGTGGGTGGGAGTGCAATACACTTTTAAACAACCACATTTCATGAGAACTGACTTTGTGTCATGAGAACAGAAAGGGGGAAGACTGCCTCTGTGATCCAATCGCCTCCTACTAAGCCCCCACTCCAACCACTGGAATTACAATTCGACATGAAATTTGGGTAGGGATACAAATTCGAACCTTATCTTTCCATTCCTATTTCTTCCAAAATCTCATATCCTTCTCACAATTCGAAAATATAATAATCCCTTCTCAATGGTTCCCCAAGTATTAACTCATTTTAGCATTAACACAGAAGTTCGTAGTACAAAATCTCATCTGAGACAAGGAAAGTACCTTCCACTTATGACCCTGTAAAATCAAAGACAATGTAATTACTTCCAAGATACAATGGGGGCATATGCATTGAGTAAATACACCCATTTCAGGAGGGACAAATCAGCCAACACCAAGTGGTTGCAGGCCCCAAGCAAGTCTGAAACCCAGCAATGCAGTCATCTAATCAAAAATCTCCAAAATAATTTCCTTTGACCCCATGTCTCACAGCCAGTCCCCAGTGATGCAAAGGGTGGCCTCCCATGAACTTGAGCAGGTCCACTTCTGTAGCTCTGCAGGGTAGAGCCCCTGTGGTTGCTTCCGATGGCTGGTATTAAGTGCTTGTGGCTTTTCCAGGTGCATGGTGCAAGCCATCAGTGGGTGAGTCATTCTGGGGTATGGAGGATGGTAGCCCTCTTCTCACGGCTCCAATAGACAGTGCCCCAATAGACAGGGACACTGTATGGGGGCTCCAGCCCCACATTTCCCTTTCACACTGCCCTAGCAGAAGTTCTCCATGAGGGCTCTGCCTCTTCATCAGACTTCTACCTGGACACCCAGGCATTTCCATACATTCTCTGAAATCTAGGCAGAGGCTCACAAGCCTCAACTCTTGCCCTCTGTGCACCCAAAGGCTTCACATCATGTGTAAGCCTCCAAGGCTTAGGACTTTCACCCTCTGGATCAGTGGCCTGAGAAGTATCTGGGGCCCATTTAGTCACAGATAAAGCTAGAGTAGCTGGGACTCAGGGAGTAGTGCCCAAAGGTTGCACAGGGCAGCAGGGACCTGGTCATGGCCCATGAAATCATCCTTATCTCCTAGACATTGGGCCTGTGATGGGAGAAACTGCCACAAAGGTCTCTAAAATGCCTTTGAAAGGTTTTCCTCAGTGTCTTCACTTTTAACATTCAGCTCCTCTTTACTAATGCAAATTTTTACTCTTGCCCCACTGGTATCAGTGAAATTATAGTCTCATACATCAGTGGAACAAAATATAGAATCCAGAAATATATCAAGCTTTATAGTAATTGATACTAGCAAAGGTTAAAGTGCAATAAAATGGGGGAATGGTGCTGAAAATATCAGACATCATATACAAAAAAACAAACCTTGATTATGCCTAATGACTTAGATCAAAATACTGCAAAATAAATTAGAGGACTAAATGTATAACCTAAAACTAACTTGTAAAAGAAAAAAAACTAAAAGACCACTTTCGTTACATTAGCTTATGTAAGGTTTCTTGGATATTACACCAGAAGCACAACTCCTACAGGAATATTTGATAAATTTGACTTTAAAACAATTAAAACCTGCTCTGTCAAAGATAATTTTAAGAAAATTACACAAGAATGCAATTAGAATAATGTATTTACAAACGTGTAAACCAAATATAAAATTTTAAGTTTCCCAACCAACAGAATGTACCTCTCTTCTTGGGCATTCCAAAGTTAACCTGAAACACTAGTTCAGGCCATGATGGGAATTCGTGGTTGGACTTGTCTCATTATATCCTCTTTCCTATGGAATTCCAGCATAACTGACAAGCATTAACATTAAAACAGAGACCTTAAGACTGACAAAGCAGACTCTTTATAGCAATAAGATACCAATGTGACAGATAGCAGGCCCTGAAAAAAATTGAAGTATTTTATACCAAAATATATGTCTTTGATATATTTTAAAACGGCCCTGCAAAGCCATTCTTTGTGGAAGAAATCTACTTTCTAGAAAAAATCCCCTTCCATTTTCAGGCCTTTTTTCCTAACCCAGGAGAGAATTAAATAAGAGCCCAGCACCTTTTTAAGTCTGATAAGAAGCATTTACAATCTATTCTCTCAGAAGCCTGCTATGGGGAGGTTTCATTTGCACAATAGGAACCTTAGTCTCCACAACCCCTTATCTTATCCCAGACACTCTCTTCTATTGATTCCAGGTCTTTAGATAAACTTTTTCAACCAGTTGCTAATCAGAAAATCTTCGAATCTACCTATGACCTGGAAGCCCCGACTTTGAGTTGTCCCACCATTCTGTATGAACCAGTGTATACCCATATATTGATTGATGTCTTTTGTCTCCTAAAATGGATAAAATCAAGCTGCAGCTCAACCATCTGGGGCATATGTTCTCAGAATATCCTGGGGCTGTGTTATAGGGCAATGCCACTCATATTTGGCGCAGAATAAATCTCTTCAAATACTTTACAAAGTTTTACGCCATCAACACATGTATCTAGTAAAGAACAAATAGCCAGAATATACATAGAACTTGCAAAATTCAATAATGAACAACTCATTATTAATAATGAGTTGTTATTATAAAACTTACACCTATTTTCTTATAAAATAAGAAAAATATTTGGACAGATATTTTAATAAAGATTTATATATTAGAGGCAAATATACACATGAAAAAATAAGAACATCATTAATCTTTAGGGAAACGTACACTTAAACTTTTTAGGACATCTAAAAAAATGTTTCAAGATACGAAGTTCTGATTAGGATGTGGAATCCCTGAAAAAATCATACATTGTTGGTTAGAATATAAAATGAAACATCATTTGGGAAAATACCTTGGCACTTTTCATTAAATAAAATATATTTTAGCCATATATCCCCACACTAATATATGTATTTAAGAATAATGAAAACATATGCTCACCCAAAAACCTTATGCAAACATTTTAGTGGCTCTATTTATCATTGCTAAAACCAGAAAACAACCCAGATGGATGAGCAATTTCTGATATATCCAGGCAGTGGGAGAGTACTCAGCACAAAAAAAAAAAAAAAAAAAAAAAGAAAGCCACTATAAAATTGATTGGTATATGCAACAATATGGATAAGTTTCTAATTCATTATAAAAACAAAAAAAGGAAACAAAATAAAAAGTTTCAGGCTCCAAAGGCTATACACCATATGCTTTAATTTATAAGACATTCTAATAAAGAAAAGCTATGAAGATATTACCTGGGAATTGGATAAGATATTAGCTTCAAATAGAAGAGAAATTGGGGAATAAAGAAATTATTTTATATTATGATTTTGATGCATATAACATGACTAATTTTGTCAAAATTCACAGAGCTGAGCACTGTAGAGTGAATTCTTTGTATGTTAACTGTACTTCCATAAACTTAACAATAATAAATATATGCATCCATGTGTATATGTGCATTTATTTTCTACACACTCATATATTAATTATTATCTAAAATGCTGTATTCCATTTTCATATATGTTGCTTTTGGTCTTGCTTTTTACATTCAGTAATATGACATCCGTATCAACATATAGATGACTTCCCTATTAAGACAATGCCTTTTCAGATGCTTTTAGGTAAAAATTCAGTCAGTCTAATCTAAAATGGTCCCTGATTTTTCTGTGTGTATACATATATAGACAGAGTCTGGCACCTTGTTAAGTTTGATAAGGAACATTTACAATCTATTCTCTCTGAAGCCTGCTACGGGGAGGCTTCATTTGCAGAATAGGAAACTTAGTTTCTGCAGCCCCTTATCTTATCCCAGACACTCCCTTCTATTGATTCCAGGTAAAAGCTCATATACACACATTTGTGGTGGGGGGGCACCAACAAAAATACCTAATGGTTACACCTATGGCATTGCGTGTACATACTATTTTAAGAATATGTTTGTGTAAAGGCTCTTTAAATATGTGGGAAGTTATGATAAACTGGATTCGATTACATGTTAAGAATAATGTTTTGGGCATTGTAGTAGTTTTCTACGGATATTATAACAAAATGCCACAAACTAGGGGGGTTAAAAACGAGAGATTTATATTTTTACAAGTCTGAGGATAGGAAATCCAAAATCAGGACATTGGCAGGTTGAGTTTCTCCCAAGGCCTTTCTCCTTAGTTTGCAAGTGGCTGACTTTTTGCGTGTCCTCACATGGTCTTTTCCTCTATGCGTGACCATCCCTAATGTCTCTTTCTCTTGTTTTAAAGACACTGACCATATCGGAGAAGGGTCCCACCTTATATGACCTAATTAACCATCATTATCTCTTTAATGGCCTTGTCTCCAAATATGGTTACATTCTGAGGACTAGGGGTTGTAACGCCAAACATAAATTTGCAGGTGCCATAATTCAGCCTAACAAGAATACTGAATTATGTAGTGAAAAATTTGTTGTGTATGGATTCAGAGACTTCAGTTTTAATTCTAGTTCTAGTACTTGGTAACCTGTGATAAGTAACTTAATTCTCCCAACCAAGGCTTTCTTCATGTCTAATGGAAGGGGGGTAGGATTAAGCTAAATTAATTGCTTTGAAAATTAGAGAAAAAATTTGTGATTTGCTGGACACATGCCAATAAATATGTCCTCTTGTTGAAATAATTAATGTTTCCTCTCATTTCACAGAAAGAACAAATTTGACAAAATATGCACTTTTTAGCATAATTTTGAAGAAAAGTGGCTAATTTTATTAAAATTTGCATGTGTGTGTTTATGTCTAACACTGAGCATCTTAACTGGGTACCATGAATGACTTGCAGGTTCCTGAGATATTGATATTCTCAAAACCAGGTTTTGAACAGCCCCTTCTTTCTCCTCAAGTTTGTTACACAAATATCATCATTTTCTGTATTTGCATTTTATACAGAGGTTTGAGAAGCTCCATCTTTACAAGAACATACTCATATTTGAATAATGTTAAGGTGCACATAAAATTAAATTAGTTTATTTCAGTATAATATACAAATGACAAGGAATGAGAATTTTCAAGAAAAGTACAACGTTTAGGATAATATAAAGAGGTTTTTAAATGTTGTTTAAACTTTGTACAATAATTACAAATCTAAAGATAACCTTCAATTTTGATACTTAAAACTATTTTCTCATTGAAATGAATCTGTGATCCAACTTTATAGGAAATTCAAATAAATATTTTTTCTGCATTATCAACATAAACAAAAATACTTGCATGAAAGTAGGTATCACAGATAAAAAGTAAAAAGATGGCTTTTTTGTAGCTGACATCCATTCTTCTAATTTAATGAAGGCAGGAAAGTAATTTTTAATAGTCAACAAACTGTAAATAACATGATACAAAATTGGCTTATTCACATAATCTTCTCAATAAAAACCTATATTTAATTTTTCCCAGCTGCAGTCCATTTCTAAATTTATGACGGGTCTCAGGAAAAAAAGACTAGCAACTGCATTAGCCTTTTGCTCTTCTGATTACACAGGAATGCCATCTAGTGTCAAAACAGTAACTGCATCCTTTCTGTCCGGTGGAATATTACTGATTGCTTATGGGGGAAAAATGATAACATTTCACACTACTTTTCTGTAAAACATGCTTTAAAGAAATATATCACAATGAATATTTGGAGACTGCTTGTCTATAAATTAGCAATATGAAGAATGTAGCCCAAGTAGGCTTTAGTTATTTTTTATAGAGCAAATTAAATTAAGTTTAATTTCACACAAAAAGATTCAAGTCATTCTTTATAAGCAAATCATATTTAAAGCAGGAATTATCCAACAAGCTCAATGTTTCCACATTTTGTATTTTAAAGTATACAACAATTCAGAAATACACCAAAATGTATTTTCTTTTTTGTCGTTGTTCATAATTTGTCTCTTATTAATTTCTACTAGAAATTCAGGAAATCAGTAAATGTAAATCTAGTTGAAAGATTATCTGGAATTGAAGTCATTTTAAATAATACTATTTATTAAATGCTTACTACTAAAATGATGTTTCATTTGTAATTTTTAATATAAATTTGTGCATTCTATTTAGTATCAGTAATACTTCTTGAAAGTATTGAGATAATCAAAATGAAAATGAAAAACAAATTTATTAATTGAGTTTATTAGTTTCTGCTTTTGTAGCTGATTTATATGAATAAGAGAATTTTCAGACACTTCATTTTTTCCCCTAGGGAGCCAGTTTTCTGTTATAAGTGTAATGAAGTATCGCTTCATTAATTAATTTTCTGTTTTGTAGATCAGTGTTTTACAAATGGTAGCATGTACTTGTGTGGAATTTGGTAATAAATAGCAGGAGATAAAGGTGTAGATGAAAAGCAGATTTGTCTGGTGGCAGAAATTGTGTAAGAAAAGGAAAGGAGGCAATAGATAATGAAGCGAGTTGATACAAGCAGCCACAGTGGTTTATTTTTCTGGGTCTGTACAACACAGTTGAATTTACCATGAGTAGAGACTTGGCTATTAAATAATGGCCTGCATATGGCTTTCCTTTTTAGCTCCAACATTGAGCTACTATAGGAAAATTCGGAAAATTCTGCAAAAAGGAGCACCCTCAAGCACTTGCAACTAAGAAACTGACCCAAGACTAGGGCCAGCTGTAACCTGTATCTAGTGTAGCACCATCTGCCCTAAGATGGAATTTTAGGTACAAGCTACCAGTTCTGACTTAACTTGATATAGTGAAAGGCAGAGTTAAAACTCAGTTCTGAAGTCAGGCACACATGATTGTTAGTTGTTCCTTTCCTATGTACTATGTGTAATATAAAATAATCAACTTACTTTTCAGGTTTGTTGGAAAAAAAAGTTAGCTGCCATGACTAGCACATTACAGAGGAAAGTGATATAAAAAATAATTTAAATGAATTCCTATATTAATAAGAGAAAAAAACCAGGATTCAAACCCAGCTCTTACTGATTTTAAAATCCATTCTTTTATCCTGTAACACAAACACATCTCTAAGCCAAGTTCTATAGATGTTAACTATATACATTAGATAAAATCACTTTAATCATTGTTCATGTTGGTAGAATAAGACAGTAGTGTTGTCTATGTATTGCTTTTTTTGCATTAAATATTTTGAATTATAGAAGAGAAAATATTAAATATGATTTATTTCATCATCTTGCCAAAAGTTCAGTAGGGAGTGAATGGTTAAAAAAATTAGTAAAGAATTAAAGCTTTTGTGAGAGAAATATCTAGATTAATGGTGAAGAGTAAGTCAAAACTAATACTGGAAGTGACAGCAGAAAGTATTAATAGAGGAGGTAATAAGTGACATAAGTCTGGAAGGATCAGTAGATGCTCACATGGGAGACCAGGGAAGGGGAGGTCAGTGCATATGGAGGAAGCAATACAAACTGAGACATATATATTAGCTTGATATAGTCAGGGTATTGCAAGTAGTTTATTAAGCTTGTAAAGTTGTGAGGGTTACATGAAGTAATCCATGTAAATCATTTTGGACAGTTCTTCCTGGTCAATAGCAAATACCTCACAAATTTAAGCTATATTATATAATAATAGGCCAAGGTGGGAAAAGAATATAGCAGAAGATAAAGCCAGCAAGGTATGCAAGTGAATTATCTCCAATTATCTATTACAAACTCCCATAAATACTTTTTCTTTTCTGTAGATAATAGAAAGAGAAATAAGAATTATAATTTGAGTGGGTCAGGAAAAACTATGACTATTAGAAGGATCTCTCTGTTAGCTAGAGTAGGGAGAATTGATTAGAAAATAATGTGAGGCTGTCAAGGTACAAAAGGTATGGTCAAGGCAAGAACCTAGACAATAGTCGAGTGATAGGAGAAATCCATAACTGAAATTTCACACAACAAAGTAGACAGAACAGTGTCAATGACAGGACCTAGAGAGAAAAGTCAAGAATGACCTATTAACTTGAGTGATGATTTCACCAGGAAATTCAGAGCTAGAGAAACATTACTAATAAGACACAAAAATAGAAGCATCAGCTCAACAGTCAACACAAATCTCATCGCCCCCAAACTGGAAGCACATTAATTACACAGTGTTTAAAAATGCTAACTGTTCCAGGTTGGTTTCTGAGGACAACAGAAGGGGCAGAGACTGAAATCCTGGAGTTTCATCAGAGAGTATGCCTGGGATTTGAGGAAGAGCTAGGAAGAAGCAGGGTTAGAGAGAGGTGGGAGTTCACTTGTGCTGTGGTCTCAATAAAGGCCTGTTTGCCCCATGCAGATCACTAAAACTGAGATGGTTCCACAGAGTTTTCTTTCCTTGTGTCAATTTTATGTATCTTTATATTACTGTATTAACTGGGTGATAGATTTGGGCTGCACCAGAAAGATCCAAGACTCTTCACAGTTTCTTAGGCCAATGCACTTTCCCCAGAGAGCTGATGAGTGAAAGATGTGGACTGCTGCTGGCACTTCTGGAACCTGGAGAACACTCCTTCTCTACTGAAGGGGAAAGTGTGCATTTGGGACAATGTTTCTTATGCCACCAGTTCTCAACCTCCTATATTTAAAATTGCCAAAATCGCTTTTGACAAATTATGTTCCTTATTGCTTATAGTGAATTAGTGTTCAAATTCAGTCATTTTTTTCCTAATAATAGCAACTTTGGTCCCCTCCTGTATCCCATTACTACTAACTTGTGACTCTCTTTACATGGACTTTCTGATTTCTACCTGCCCCACCTACAGTACATTCTTTCTTCAACTTTCATTTTAGGAGCTACGTTAAAATATTTCTGTACCTTAGGAAAGGTTAGTTTCCCCTATTAACCTGTCTCTTACATCCTAGTGATTCTTCATTGACTGGTTTGAATGTGATTCTTCAAAAATAATATACCACAACATATAGTTTTGCAGTTCTTGTAGTCTGTTCTTCTTGTTTTATCTTGAACATAAATGTGTCTAAGCAACTCATAACAATTGCTAGAGCTCCTCAAGCCTATACTGGGTTTTTCTCATCTTGAAATCCTTAGTGAGACTTACATGAGGTACCACTGAGAGGCTATTAAAGAGGCAGATAAGAGAGCTTGGGCAAATGCCTAAATTTAAAGGTTAGGTCTTTCATTTGTAGGCTCTCTGAAATTGACTTGTCTGCTTCCTTTGCATTAGTTCACTCAGTTTCAAAATAGGGCTAATATTGGAGCCTGCTTCATGGACTTGTTATGAAATTCTAGGTACAAACAATTTCATGTATGTAAAGAATTTACAACAGTTTTGCCTCTTACTAAGTATTAGTATATTTTAACTTTTATTTGATATTGTTTCTTCTAAATACATGGATCAGATTCAACTTTTTCCACAGTTACATCCCCCAAACTAGCATAATTTTTATTGTATTATGTTACTGAACAAATAGATTTAATAGTCTAAATGTGTCAAGCACACATAATATGAATAATATATTATTTAAACAATGTATTTTTATCGTGTTATGAGTATGCTAAAAGTTTATATATATATATATATATATATATATATATATATATATTATACTTTAAGTTCTAGGGTACATGTGCACAACATGCAGGTTTGTTACATATGTATACATGTACCATATTGGTGTCCTGCACCCATTAATTCATCATTTAACATTAGATATATCTCCTAATGCTATTCCTCCCCCCTCCCCCTACCCCACAACAGGCCCCGGTGTGTGATGTTCCCTTTCCTGTGTCCAGCTGTTCTCATTGCTCAATTCCCACCTATGAGTGAGAACATGCGGTGTTTGGTTTTTTGTTCTTGTGGTAGTTTGCTGAGAATGATGGTTTCCAGCTTCATCCATGTCCCTACAAAGGACATGAACTCATCATTTTTTATGGCTGCATAGTATTCCATGGTGTATATGTGCCACATTTTCTTAATCCAATCTATCATTGATGGACATTTGGGTTGGTTCCAAGTCTTTGCTATTGTGAATAGTGCCGCAATAAACATACGTGTGCATGTGTCTAAAAGTTAAGTAATTTGATTAGAAAATTAAGCCACCTGTTTCTTTAAAACTTTTATTTTAGTTTCAGGGGTACATGTACAACTTTGTTATAGGTAAATTGCATGTCCCAGGAGTTTGGTGTACAGATTATTTTGTCACCCAGGTAATAAGCATAGTACCTGATGGGTAATTGTTCTAGCTTCACCTTCATTCATGCTTCGACCTCAAATAGGCCCCGAAGTGTACTGTTTTCTACTTTATGTCCACGTGTACTCAATGCTTAGCTCCCACTTGTAAGTGAGAAGATGCAGTATTTGATTTTTTATTCCTGTGTTAGTTCACTTAGGATAATGGCCTCCAAGCCTATGAATGTTTCTTCAAAGGGCATATTCTAATTATTTTTGGATGTTACTGGTGTATAGAAATGTTACTGATGGCTGGGCGCGGTGGCTCACGTCTGTAATCCCAGCACTTTGGGAGGCTGAGGCAGGCGGATCACGAGGTCAGGAGATAGAGACCATCCTGGCTAACACGATGAAACCCCGTCTCTACTAAAAATACAAAAAAAATTAGCCGGGCGTGATGGCGGGTGCCTGTTGTATTCCATGGTGTATATATACCACATTTTCTTTATCAAGTCCACTGTCGATGGGTTCACTGTTGATCTAGGGTGATTCCATGTCTTTGTTATTGTGAATAGTTCTGTGATGAACACACACATGCACATGTCTTTATGGTAAAACGACTTTTATTCCTTTGGGCATATAACCAATAATGGGATTGCTGGGTCAAATGATAGTTCTGTTTTCAGTTATTTGAAAAATCACTAAACTGCTTTCCACAATGGCTGAGCAAATTTACATTCCCACCAGCACTGTGCAAGTGTTTTCTCTATAACCTTGTCAGCATCTGTTATTTTTTTACTTTTAATAGCCATTCCGATTTGCGTGAGATGATATCTCATTGTGGATTTGATGTGCATTTTCTGAATGATAGTGGTATCAAGTAATTTTTCATAAGTGTATAGGTTGTGTGTATGTCTTTTAAAAAATTTCTGTTCGTGTCCTTTGTCCACTTTTTAATGGAATTATTTTCTGGTTGATTTGGTTAAGTTCCTCATACATTTTAGATATTAGACCTTTGTCAGATACATAGTTTGCAAATATTTTCTTCCATTCTGTTTACTCTGTTGATAATTTGTTTTGCTGTGCAGAAGCTCTTTAGTTTACTTAGGTCCCATTTGTCAATTTTTGTTTTTGTCACAATTGCTTTTGACATCTTCGTCATGAAATCTTTGACAGGGTCTATGTCATGGATGATATTTACTAGGTTACCTTCTAGAGTTTTTATGGTTTTAGAT
Organism: Homo sapiens; assembly: GCF_000001405.40. Taxonomy (NCBI): domain Eukaryota; kingdom Metazoa; phylum Chordata; class Mammalia; order Primates; family Hominidae; genus Homo; species Homo sapiens. The sequence continues at coordinate 24,116,014 of NC_000005.10, forward strand.
TTTACATGTAAGTCTTTAATCCATCTTGAGTTGATCTCTGTATAAAGTGAAATAAAGGAGAGCAGTTTCAATTTCTGAATATGGTTAGCCAGTTATTCCAGCACCATTTATTGAATAGGATAGGGAGTAGTTTCCCAATTGCTTGTTTTTGTCAACTTTGTCAAAGATCATATGATTGTAGGTGTGAAGCTTTATTTATGGCCTCTCTGTTCTGTTTCCTTGGTCTATGTGTCTGTTTTTGTACCAGTACCTGCTGTTTGGGCCATTGTAGTCTTGTACTGTAGTTTGAAGTTGGTTACTGTGAGCTCTTCAGGCTCTTTTTTGATTCTGTAGGAATGTTAGTTTTTCTAATAATTTGAAGAATAACATTGGTACTTTGATAGTAATAGCATTGAATCTGTACATTGTTTTGGGAAGTATAGCCATTTTAACAATGTTGATTCTTCCAATCCATGAGCATGGGATGTTTTCCCATTTGTTTGTGTCGTCTCTGATTCCTTTCAGCAGAGTTTTGTAATTCTCATCGTAGAGATCTTTCATCTCCCTGGTTAGCTCTATTCCTTGGTATTTTATTTTATGTTTTGGCTATTGTGAATGGAATTGTGTTTTGATGTGGCTCTCAGCTTGGATGTTATTGGTGTATAGAAATGTTACTGATGGCCGGGCGCGGTGGCTCACGCCTGTAATCCCAGCACTCTGGGAGGCCAAGGTGGGCGGATCACGAGGTCAGGAGATCGAGATTATCTTGGCTAACATGGTGAAACCCCGTATCTACTAAAAATACAAAACAAAAAAAAATAATAATTAGCCGGGCGTGGTGGTGGGCGCCTGTAGTCCCAGCTACTCGGGAGGCTGAGGCAGGAGAATGGCGTGAACCTGGGAGGTGGAGCTTGCAGTGAGCGAGATGGTGCCACTACACTCCAGCCTGGGTAACAGAGCAAGACTCCAACTCAAAAAGAAAAAAAAAAACGAAAAAAAAAGAAAGAAATGTTATTGATTTTGATGTTCATCGATTTTGTATACTGAAACTTTGCTAAAGTTGTTTATCAGATTTGGGAATTTTTGGACAGAGACTGTGGGATATAAAACTATATGGTCTGCAAAGAGAGATAGTTTGACTTCCTCTCTTCCTACTTAGATACCTTTTATTTAATTCTTTTGCCTGATTGCTCTGGCTTGGACTTCCAGTACTATGTTGAAAAGTAGTAGTGAGGGAGGCCATTCTTATCTTTTTCTGTGTCTTAAGGGGAATGCTTTCAGCTATTGCCCATTCAGTTATGATGTTGGCTGTCGGATTATCATATATGGCTCTTATTATTTGGAGGTATGCTCCTTCAATGCCTAGTTTTTTGAGGATTTTTTTAAAATGATGAGATGTTAAATTTTATAGAAAGCCTTTTCTGCATCTATTGACCTGATCATGTGGTTTTTGTTTTAAGTTCTGTTTTTGTGATGAATCACATTTATTGATTTTTCATATGTTGAACCAACCTTGCATCCCAGGAATAAAACCTACCTGCTCGTGGTAGATTACCTTTTTGATGTACTGCTGGATTCATTTTGCTAGTGTTTTGTTTAGAACTTTTGCATCTATGTTCACCAAAGGTTATTGGCCGGAAGTTTTATTTTTTTGTTCTGACTCTGCCGGGTTTTAGTATTAGAATGATACTGCCCTCAGGGGATGAATTATAAAGTATTCCATCTTCTTCATTTTTTGGAATAGTTTCATTAGAAATAATATCAGCTCTTCGTTACACATCAGGAATAATTAGACTGTGAATCTACCCAATTATAGCTCTAGAGATTACAAAATTGTCAAGGATGTAAGTGTTCAATACACTTTTTAAAGGTTTCATTATTTTTAAATGTTTTGATAATCGTACATAGACATGCAGTTGTAATAAGTAATACAGACAGGTCCTATATTCCCTTCACTCAATTTCCCCCAGTGGTAACATCAAAACTATGATATGAAGCCACATCAGGAAATGGGCCCTGAGACAATCCAGTGATATTATTAAGAGTTCACCAATGTTATAGACACTCAAGTGTGTATGGTTGTTTCTATGCAATTTTATCACTTGTGGAGATTCATGTGACCACTAAGATAGCTCAGACACAGAACAGCTTAATCATGAGGATCCATCAGACTTTCATTTTGTAGTCCAGCCACCTTTCCTCTTTCCCCATTCCTTAACCACTGGGGACTACTCAGCTCTTTTTCTATAATTTTGATAGTTATAACAGTTATATAAATATATTTAAATAGTATATAAACATTTGAGATTTTCTTTTTTTCTTTTCACTCAGCATAATTCTATTGAGAATTATCTAAATAAATGTGTATCCTTAGTCCATTCCTTTTTATTGATGAGTAGTGTTTCATGGTATATATGAATCATAGTTTATTGAACCATCATCTGTTAAAAGACATCTGTGATGTTCCCATTTTTAACTCTTAGAAATAAAGATCCTATGAGCACAGATTTTTGTGTGAATACAAATTCTAATTTCTTTGGCATAAATTCTCAAAAGAGCAATTGTTGAGCCAGATGGTAAGTATATGTTTAGCTTTGTAAGAAACTGCCGAACTTCCTTTCAGAATGACTATATCATGTTTCATCTCCACCATCAATGTATGAGTAATTGAGTTTCTCTGCATCTTCACCAGTATATGTTGTTTTTATTATTTTTTATTTTAGCCATTCTAATACGTAGGGATATCTCACTGTGGTTTTAATTTGCATTTCCCTATGGCTAATGATGTTGCAATAAATACTTTTATTGTTTTATTTTAAACTATTTTTGGTAAAATAGCCATTATTTCATTAGATATAAATCAGTGTATAACAATTGTGCCAGTACACATATACTGTGTCTATATACCTATTAAATTAGCAGATATTTAATGGTAATCACTGCATGGGAACAGTGTTTAAAATAATCAAAACAGTTTTCAAATAATAGAACAAGATTAGAAGATTTTTACTACCTGATTTTACAACTTACTCTTAAGCTATAGTAAACAAGTTAATGTAGTATTAGCATAAGGGTAGACACAAAGATCTATAGAACAGAATAGAGACTGTATTAGTCTGTTCTCACACTGCTAATAAAGATATACGCAAGACTAGATCATTTAAAAAGGAGAAAGATTTAACTGATTTACAGTTCCATATGTCTCAGAAGGCCTCGCAATCATGGCAGAAGGCAAGAAGGAGCAAAGTCACATCTTACATGGTGGCAGGCAAGAGAGAACATGTGCAGGGGAACTCCCATTTATAAAAGCATAAGATCTTGTGAGACTTGCTCACCACTACGTGAACAGTTTTGGGGAAACTGCTCCCATGATTCAATTATCTCCACTCAGCCCTGCCCTTGACAAGTAAGGATTACTATAATTCAAGGTGAGATTTAGGTAGAGACACAGCCAAACCATATCAGAGACTATAGAGGTAAACATACACATAGGGTCAATTGATTTTGGAAAAGTGTGCCAAAGTAATTCAATAGGGATCAGATAGACTTCAACACTGTTGCTGGAGTAATTGTATACCTTTATGCAAAAAAACAAAACAATACCAGAACCTCATTACCTAGTGAGTACCATACAAAATTAACTTAGAAGGGATTATAGAATCAACTGTAAAGGCTGAAACTATAAAATCTTTAGAATAAAACTTTGTGTGTCTTTTCACAAAGGTGAAAAATCTTTGTGACCTTGAGTTGGTAAATGGTCCTTGGATATAATAATAAATAAAAAAATTAATTGGTTTCATCAAAATAAAAGTATTTTGGCATTCAAAATCTATCATCAGGAAAAAGAAAAGGCAAGCCTCAGCTAAGGGAACAATAGTTTCTGATGATGTATCTGATAAAGATGTTAAATATAAAATAGTAAAAAAAATCTTAAAAGTCAATAGTAGACAAACAGCATAATAAAAATAAAATTATAAAAATATTTTATATTTTATTTTTATATTTTTATATTTCAAATTCAAAATATGAATTTGAATAGATACTTTATTAAAATGTCAAATAATAAGCAGATCAAAAGATGCTCAACATTATTAGTCCTTAGGGGAATGCAAACAAAACCAATAAACACCCATTACAATGGCTACATTTAAAAAGACTACAATAATGAGTGTCAATAAAGATACAGGGAAACAGAAATTTTATCACATCACTGGTAAGAATATAAAATGCTCCAACCATATTGCAAAACCCTTTGACAGTTTCTTAATGAGTTAAACATACATTTACATTAAAACACTGCAATTATGCTCCTTGTTATTCATCCAAAGAAATGAAAACATATGTTCAAAGACATACACACCAATATTCGTAGCTACCTTATTAATAATATAAAAAAATTAGAAACAAGCCAAATGTTCATCAGCTGGGTAAGGATATAGGAAATATGCTATATTCATACAATGAAAGTGCACTCAATAGCAGAGAGAATGAACTACTAATACATAGAACAACATGGATGAATCTCAGAAGCATCATGCTAAGTGAGAGAATTCAGACACAAAATGATTCCATATATACAGAATATCTTTAAAGAGCAAAACAGTATCTAGAGGAAGCAGATTAGTGACTGTGATCAAGACAGGGAGCAGGGATTGACTACAAATGAGCATCAGGAATCCTTTGGGGAATGAAAATCTTCTAGAACTAGACTATGTTGATAGCTGCACAACTGCATAAAACTAATCAATTTCTACCTTAAATGGATGTCTTGTAAAATGTTTTTAAAAGGCTAAAAAACAAAAACAAAATTAAATGTATGATGTGGCAATTACATAACTGTGTAAGAAGAATCATGACTAGAACAATGGTTGCAAAGAAAAAAGAAAGATTGGCTAAAGCCAGCCAGAGAAATGTATAAATCTTGGAAGACATGAGAAAAGTATGCTTTGTTTGCTTATTCTTTGAGGGGATGTGTAGGATAATTATCTTACAGGTAGATAGGTATAGCTCTTTACTGATTTCTAGGAATGCCTCAAAGACTAGTCAATATACGGACAAGATGTGCTAGCTAGAGATGTGTAATATGCTGGCTAAAGTTGGAAAATATCTTAGAATAGCTGGCTTATATTGTTTAGTGATTTATGGATTGATGCCTTTAAAACCTCTATAACTGATTACACAGCATGCCTTAAGTTATGTGACCAGTGGAGTATATAAGACCCTCCTGGAAACTTTTGCTTCAGTTCCCTGCATCTAAGATTTCTCTCTAAGACAATGAGTGTTAAAATTCAGAGACAAAGCACATCCTCTGTGTATTCGTCCATTTTCACATTGCTATAAAGAACTACCTGAGACTGGGTAATTTATAAAGAAAAGACGTTTAATTGACTCACAGTTCCAGGTGGCTGTGGAACTTAAAATCATGGCAGAAGGTGAAGGGGAAGCAAAACACGTCTTACTTGGCAGCATGAGAGACAGAGAGAGCGAGGGGCAAAGTACCACACTTTAAAACCATCAGGTTTCATGAGAGCTCACTCACTATCACAAGAACAGCAAGGAAAAATCTGCCCCCATGATCCAGTCATCTCCTATTAAGCCACTCCTCTAACACATGGGGATTACAGTTCAAGGTGAGATTTGGGTAGGGACACAGAGTCAAACCGTATCATTCGTCTCTTCCCCTCCCAAATTTCATGTCCTTTTCATATTTCAAAACCAATCATGCCTTCTCAACAGTCCCCCAAAGTCTTGACTCATTCCAGCATTAACTCAAAAGTCCAAGTCTAAAGACTCATCTGAGAGAAGGCAAGTTCCTTGTGGCTATGAGCCTGTAAAATTAAAAACAAGTTACTTACCTCCAAGGTACAATGGGCATAAAGGCATAGGGTAAATGTTTCTATTCCAAATGGGAAAAATTGGTCAAAACAAAGGGGCTACAGGCCCCACGTAATTTCGAAAAACAACAGGGCAGTCATTAAATCTTAAAGCTCCAAAATAATCTTTGACTCCTTGTCTCACATCCAGGGCACATTGACAAAAGATGTGGGCACCCAAAGCCTTGGACAGCTCTTCCTGTGTGGCTCCTCAGGGTATAGTCCCCATGCCTGCTTTCAGAGGCTGGCATTGATTGCCTGTTGCTTTTCCAGGTGTCGGTGGATCTACCACTCTGGGGTCCGGAGTATGGTGGCCTTCTTTTCAAAAGCTCCACTAAGCAATTCCCCCGTGGGGACTCTATGTGGGGGCTCCAACCCCGCACTTCCCCTCTGCATTGCCCTTGTAGAGGTTCTCCATGAAGCCTCTGCCACTGCAGCAGACTTCTGCCTGTACATCCAGGCACCTCTATACATCCTCTGAAATCTAGGTGAAGGCTTACAAAGCTTAACTCTTGTCTTCTGCACCCAAAAGCCCAACACCACTTGAAAGCTGCCAATGCCTGGGGCTTACACCCTCTGAATCAATAACCTGAGCTGTATGTTGGCTCCTTTTAGCCACAGCTGGAGCTGAAGCAGCTGGGATACAGAGTGTCATGTCTTGAGGCTGCACAGACCAGTGGGGGCACCAGGCTTGGCCCATGAAACCATTTTTCTCTCCTAGGCCTCTGGGCCTGTGATGGCAGAGGCTGCTGGAAGATTTCTGAAATGCCCTGGAGACATTTTTCATCATTTTTTTGGCTATTAATACTTGGCTTCTCATTAATTGTGGAAATGTTTGCCCCTAGCTTGAATCTCTCTCAAAAAATATGTTTGTTCCTTTTTTTAATACAGTATGGCCAGGCTGCAAATTTCCAAACTGTTATGTTTTTTCCCTTTTAAACCTAAGTTTCAATTTCGAATCTTCTCTTTGTGAATGCGTATAACTGTATGCTTTTAGGAAAAGCCAGGTCACATCTTGAATGCTTTGCTGTTTAGGAATTTCTTCTGCCAGATACACTAAACCATCTCTCTCAAGTTCAAAGCTCCACAGATCTCTAGGGCAGAGAAAATCGCCATTAGTCTCTTTGCTAAAGCATAGCAAGAGTAACCTTTGCTCCAGTTTCTAATAAGTTCCTCATCTCCATCTGAGCCCACCTCAGCCTGGTTTTTCATTGTCCATATCACATGAGCATTTTCATCAAAACCTATTAACACGTCTCTAGGAAGTTCCAATCTTTCTCACATCTTTCTGTCTTCTTCTGAGCCCTCCAAACCGTTTCAAACTCTTTCCATTATCCGGTTCCAAAGTCATTCCCACATTTTCAGGTATCTTTATAGCAGTGCCTCACTCCCAGTTTCAATTTTCTGTATTAGATAATTTTCAAGCTGCTGTAAAGACCTACCTGAAACTGGGTAATTTATAAAGGAAAAGTTTTAATTGACTTACAATTCCTCATAGATGGAGAGGCCTCAGAAAACTTACAATCATGGTGGAAGATGAATGGGAAGAAAGGCATAACCTACATGGCAGCAGAAGAGAGAAAGAAAGGGAGGGGCAAAGTGTCACACTCTAAAACCATCAGCTCCTGTGAGAGCTCACTGTCAAAAGAACAGCAAGAGAGATCTGCCCCCATGATCCAATCATGTCCCACCAGGCCTCTCCTCTGACACATGGGAATTGCAACTCAAGGTGAGATTTTGGTGGAGACACAGAGCCAAACCATATCACTCTGCAACTGAGAAAGAAACCTGAGAACTGCATCTGGAAGACCCTTTGGCCCTGAGGCTTGCCTGTGCCTTCTTTCTTCTACTATACTATACCCTGTATCTGTATTAAATCCTTTTGTGAGGAAACCCTGAAATCTTGTGAATTCTTTCAAATATGTGATTATATATGATCAATGCAAAAAAGACATTAAAATTGGAAAAATTTAATGTTTGTTGTATAAAAATTTGTCATATGTTTTCATTTTTTAATAATAATGCACTTATATACATTCAAAAATAGTTAAATAAATTGAAATTTGAGAGTTTCTTTTGATTCTCTCCTCCACTGACAAAAGTTGGAAATGTAATATTTGTCTTTCAGTTTAAAAAAAATCTTTTTTAGGCTGGGTGCAGTGTCTCATGCCTGTAATCCCAGCGCTTTGGGAGGCTGAGGCAGGTGGATCACCTGAGGTTAGGAGTTCGAGACCAGCCTGACCAACATGGAGAAACCCTGTCTCTACTAAAACTACAAAATTAGCTGGGCACAGTGGCGCATGCCTGTAATCCCAGCTACTCGGGAGGCTGAGGCAGGAGAATCGCTTGAACCTGGGAGGCAGAGGTTGCGGTAAGCTGAGATCATGCCATTGCACTCCAGCCTGGGAAACAAGAGCAAAACCCCATCTCAAAAAAAAAAAAAAATCTTTTTAAAAAAGTTTCTGTTCAAAAAAAAAAAATAGGATACATGTGCAGAATGTGCAGGTTTGTTACATAGGTATACATGTACTGTGGTAGTTTGCTGTGCCCATTGACCTGTCCTTTAAGTTCCCTCCTCTCACCTCCCACTCACCACCAGTCCCTGGTATGTGTTGTCTCCCCTGTCTGTGTCCATGTGTTCTCATTGTTCAGCTCCCATTTATGAGTGAGAACCTGTGGTGTTTGGTTTTCTGTTCCAGTGTTAGTTTGCTAAGAATGATGGTTTCCAGCTTCATCCATGTCCCTGCAAAAGACATGATCTCATTCCTTCTTATGGCAGCATAGTACTCCATGGTGTATATGTACCCCACTTTCTTTATCCAGTCTATCGTTGATGGGCATTTGGGTTGGTTCCACATCTTTGGTATTATAAATAGTGCTGCAATAAGCATATGTGTGAATGTGTTTTTGTAGTAGAATGATTTACATTCCTTTGGGTATATATCCAGTAATGAGATTGCTGGGTCAAATGGTATTTCTTGTTCTAGATCCTTAACAAATTGCCATACTGTCTTCTACAATCATTGAACTAATTTACATTTCCAGCAACAGTGTAAAAGCTTTCCTATTTCTCCACAGCCTTGCCAGCATGTATTGTTTCCTGACTTTTTAATAATCACCATTCTGAATGGCATGATATGGTATCTCATTGTGGTTTTGATTTGCATTTCTCTGATGATCAGTGGTGTTGAGTTTTTTTTCATATGTTTGTTGGCTGCCTAAATGTCTTATTCTGAGGAGTGTCTCTTCATATCCTTTGCCTACTTTTTGATGGAGTTGTTTGTTTTATTTTTGTAAATTTGTTGAAGTCCTTGGAAATTCTGGATATTAGACCTTTGTCAGATAGGCAGATTGCAAAAATTTTCTCCTACTATGTAGCTTGCCTATTCGCTCTGATGCTATTTTCTTTTGCTGTGCAGAAGCTCTTTAGTTTAATTAGATCCCATTTGTCAATTTTGGCTTTTGTTGCAATTGCTTTTGACATTTTTGGCATTAAGTCTTTGCGCATGCCTATGTCCTGAATGGTATTGCCTCGGTTTTCTTCTATGGTTTTTATGGTTTGGGGTTTTACATTTAAGTCTCGAATCCATCTTGAGTTAATTTTTGCATATGGTCTAAGGAAGAGGTCCAGTTTCAGTTTTCTGCATATGGCTAGCCAGTCTTCCCAGCACCATTTATTGAATACAAGATCCTTTCTCCTTTGCTTGTTTTTGTCAGGTTTGTCAAAGATCAGATGGTTGTAGATATGTGGTGTTATTTCTGAGGTCTTTGTTCTTCTCCATTGTTCTATGGATCTGTTTTGGTACCAGTGCCATTCTGTTTTGGTTACTGTGGCCTTGTAGTATAGTTTGAAGTCAGATAGCATAATGCCTCCAGCTTTGTTATTTTTGTTTATGATTTTCTTGGCTATATGGGGTCTTCTTTGATGCCACATGAAATTTAAAATAGTTTTTTTCTAATTCTATGAAGAATGTCAATGGTAGTTTAATGGGAATAGCATTTAATCTGTAAATTACTTTGGGCAGTATGGCCATTTTCACGATGTTCATTCTTCCTATACATGAGGATGGAATGCTTTTTCATTTGTTTATGTCCTCTCTTATTTCCTTGAGCGGTGGTTTGTAGTTCTCCTTGAAGAATTCCTTTACATCCCTTGTTTGCTGTATTACTAGGTATTTTATTCTCTTTGTAGTGACTATGAATGGGAGTTCATTCATGATTTGTCTCCCTGCTTATCTATCGTTGGTGTAAAGGAATGCTTGTAATTTTTGCACATCAATTTCATATCTTGAGACTTTGCTGCAGTTGCTTATCAGCTTAAGGAGTTTTGGGGCTGAGATGATGGGATTTTCTTAATATAAAATTATGTCATCTGCAAACAGAGACAATTTGACTCCCTCTTTTCCTATTCGAATACCTTTTGTTTCTTTCCCTTGCCTGATTTCCCTGGCCAGAACTTCCATCCTATGTTGACTAGGAGTGGTGAGAGAGAGCATCCTTGTTTTGTACGGGTTTTCAAAGGGAATTCTTCCAGCTTTTGCCCATTCAATATGATATTGGCTGTGGGTTTGTCATAAATAACTCAAAATAATAATATTTTGAGATATGTTCCATCAATACCTAGTTTATTGAGAGTTTTTAACATGAGGGGATGTTGAATTTTACCAAAGACCTTTTCTTCATCTATTGAGATAATCATGTGGTTTTTTGCCTTTGGTTCTGTTTATGTGATGGATTATGTTTATTGATTTGTGTATGTTGAACCAGCCTTGCATCCCAGACATGAAGCCAACTTGATCATGGTGGATGCTTTTTGATGTGCTGCTGTATTCGGCTTGCCAGTATTTTATTGAGGATTTTTGCATCGATATTCATTAGGTATATTGGCCTGAAGTTTTCTTTTGTTGTTGTTGTTGTGTCTCTTTCCAGTTTGGGTATCAGGAGGATGGTGGCTTCATAAAATGAGTTAGGGAGGAGTCCCTCCTTTTCAATTGTTTGGAATTGTTTCAGAAGCAATGGTACCAGCTCCTCTTTGTATTTCTGGTAGAATTCAGATATGAATCTATCTGGTCGTATCTGGACTTGCTTTTTTTTTTGTTGTTGGTAGGCAGTAATTACTGCTTCAATTTCAGAACTTGTTATTGGTCTATTCAGGGATTCAAAATCTTACCAGTTTAGTCTTGGGACAGTGTATTTGTCCAGGAATTTCTCCATTTCTTCTAGATTTTTACAGTTTATTTGCATAGAAGTGTTTGTAGTATTCTCTGATGGTAGTTTGTATTTCTATGGGGTCAGTGGTGATATCCCCTTTCTCATTTTTTATTGTGTTTATTTGATTATTCCCTCTCTTCTTATTAGTCTAGCTAGCAGTCTCTATTTTGCTAACTTTTTCAAAAAAACACTCGTGGATTTGTTGATTTTCGGAGGGTTTTTCATGTCTCTAACTCCTTCAACTCTTCTCTGATCTTAGTTATTGTCTTTTCTAGCTTTTGGATTCGTTTGCTCTTGCCTCTCTAGCTCTTTTAATTGTGAATTTAGGGTGTTGATTTGAGATCTTTCTAGCTTTCTGATGTGACATTTAGTGCTATGAATTTCCCTCTTAACACTGTTTTAGCTGTGTCCCAGAGATTCTGGTATGTTATCTTTTCGTTCTCATTGGTTGCAAACAACTTCTTGATTTCTGCCTTAATTTCATTATTTACCCAGGAGCTATTCAGAAGCAGGTTGTTCAATTTCTATGTAATTGTGTGGTTTTGAGTGAGTTTCTAAATCCTAAGTTCTAATTTGATTACACTGTGGTCTGAGAGACTGTTTGGTGTGATTTCAGTTATTTTGCATTTGCTGAGGAGTGTTTTACTTCCAATTATGTGGTCTATTTTAGAAATAGTGCCATGTGGCACTGAGAAGAATTTATATTCTGTTGATTTGGGGCAGAGAGTTCTGCAGATGTCTGCTAGGTCCACTTGATCCAGAACTGAGTTCAAGTCCTGAATATCCTTTTTAATTTTCTGTCTTGTTTATGTGTAAAAAACCTTATTTATAGATTAAATTGTTTTACATAAGTCATTCTCAAATATGTGATTCTGCCCTCAGGGGACATTTGGCTATGTCTAGAGACATTTTTTGGTTGTCACAAGTGGGAGTGGGTGCTACTGGCATCTAATGAGAAGAGGCCAGGGATGCAGTCTAATGTCCTACGTTGCATGAGACAATCTCACACGACAAATAATTATCTGGTCCAAATGTCAATAGTACTGAAGTGGAGAAACTGTGCTTTATGCAAAGACATGGTCAGTTACCAAAATGTTTATTATTATGGATGCAGAAAGTTTCCTGATCCAGTATTGTAGTAATTTTAGCAATGTTGAAGTATAAGAAAGAGAGTTTAGACAATGTAAATTCAAAATAACAAAAAATGTATTCCGAAATAACTCAACTGCCTTTTCTTGTGTTGCTTGTACACCATCTCACAGAAACATTGAGATTACCTTTCTTCTTCCCACTATTTGCATTACAACTCTCAGCTGCTATTTTGTCCTTCTTGTTAAGTATTTCCTTGGCCCACCAGAGAACTAAAACAGAAGTTGATAACAAAAAGATATTTGGAAATTCCCCAAATTTGTTAACCAACACAAATCAAAGAAATGTTAAATGTAAGAGGTGATGGGTATGCTTAAATACCATGATTTGATTTGTATACAATGTATACATGCACTGAAATGTCACACTGTACCCTATAAATATGTACAGTTTTATGTATTGATAAAATGCCCATAATCCAAATTAACATGTGTTCAAAGGGAAGGCCAAAAGGGAATGTAAAATATTTTATTTTAATGAATTGAAAAACCAAAACACCAAAATTAATGGAATGTGATAAAAATAACAATTAGATGGAAATTTATAGCATTAAATGTTTTTATTACAAAAGAAAATTGTCCTCAAATAAATAAATTTTCCAACTTTAAAAAGTGGTGGAAAGACACATTTTACATATTACATATTATATTAAATTAGATTATATATTATATGAATTATATGTCCTGTGTCAGATGTCTTTGTTAGATATCTGATTTGCAAATATTTTAGCCCAATATGTCTATTTCTTGATATATGTTCAATTATAGGCAAACAAAACAAAAAATAATATATAGCCAGAATATTTGAACACATATTTCACCATAGACATGTGGTCATTTAAACTTCCCTGATAAGTCTGTTCTTAAATAAATGGACTTCTGTCATCCAGAAAGTACAAATTAAAATCCAAATGACATAACTCTACCCCATACGCACCCAATAGAAAGGCTGCAATTAGAAAAACAAACAAACAAAAAGGAACTTGGCAATACCAAATGCTGCCAGGATGCAGAATAGCTGGCACTCACATACACTGGTGATGGGAATGCACAACACAGCCACTTTTGAAAGTGTATGTAAGTTTTATATAAGTGCATATGTACCCTAAAACTTAAAGTATAATAATAAAAAAAAAACTAATCATACACTTATCTGGCTCAGCAATTCCATTCGTAGTGTCTAAGGGAAAGAAAACCTTAGGTTTGTGGAAAATCTGTATAGAAATGTAGCATTTTAAACTAATAATCATCAAAATCTAGAATCAAATCCAACACTCTTTATCCAGTAAATGGTTCCAAACAAACAAAAATCCTGTGGCACATCCATGCTGTTCAGCAATAAAAAAATGAACTTTTGATACACACAACATCATGTTATCCTCTCAGATGTGTTTTTGTTAAGTAAAAAGAGCCAGAGGCAACCTAGTATATATTTTCATTTCTGTGACTTTCTGGATGAGACACTTAAGTGGTTGCTAGAGGAGAGAAGTTGACTAAAAGGAGCAGCATGAGGGAAATTTATGGTTATGGATACATTACTTTTTGCGTATTTCAAAACTCATAGAACTGTACACCACAAAGTAAAATTTAGCTTATATAAATTCAAAAATGAATTAAGTTATTTTTATTTTTTACTGATGTGAATATTGAGGCTTTGGTGTATCAAATTACTCAGATGTAAAAGAGTTAATATCCTTTTTTAAGCCATTCTGTTGTGAAACTTCAATTTTTTAAAAAAATGTTTATCACGGAAAATTTAGTGCTGTTTTGTTTTTCTTTTTACCACTTTGTATTTTTCTGAATACTTCCAAGTATATTCAGAACAAACGACATTATATCTTTCAATTTCCCTTTCCCTTTATTAGATAAATGCAATGATAAATACTGGCTTACTATCAAGCAAATTGAAATGATCTCTTTATTTTACTTTCACTCTTGCTTTGTTGTTCGTATTGCGATTGCTGCATTTTTGTTTGATTCTTTGTTTATTATAATTATCTACATCAGTTTACTTTAGTTTCTGGGATTATTCCTTCAATATCTTTTTAAAATAATTCCAAAAGTTGTATTTTACTTTCCACATAAAAAACAGAACTCTAGCCAAGAATAATGCACACATATTTATCTTAAGAAAACATGTTGCTGCAAATGTTCTATTATTGATTAATGTTAAAAATCCTATATTCAAAGTGATTCTCTAAAATCTTCATGCTTAATTTTCTTTCCAAAATATCAAACACTTCAATGAATTTTAAATACTGTGAGTAGTATGCAGGATGTTACACAGATGCATTTATTAACTAGAAAAATATTATAAAATGGATAAACATCTATGTAACAAATAAGAATTTGTAATTGCTAACCTCACCTTTTTCATATGTTCCTAGTTTCTTTTAAGTGTCCTTCCAACAGTTTTCTTAGATAATTCTGCTTTTCCGTGCTTTCCCTCATGGTTCAATTTTACATGAATAAGCAACAGCACTCATTTACCAAAAGATGCTAAAGAAGCATAATTTTCTTTTTTATCCCCTCTTCCTTAGCCATTGGCAATGTTTTCTGTTCTACAATCTCATTAACTAGACTAAAAAAAAACATGAAACTTTTCAAATAACTCCTTTAATCGTTATTAGAGGACATCATTTTCAAAATAAATGTGTAGACTGTTATTTTTAACAGCATATCAGATCTATTTATTTTGCTATTGCAATCTAGTTTTGCAATTTGATCTTGGTTTATTGTTCCCTCCAAGCCCCATCCCTTTATTATGTTATATTTTGTTAGGGCCCTCTTTTGTTAATGTTTCTTACAATCCAATTTATGAAACATACTTTAACTTTCAAGCCATGAATGACTCAAGTTAATGCCTTTCTAAATGTGAACCACAATCCATAGGATTCGAATTGTTTAATATAAAAATGATTAGATTGCTTTGTATCTCAGAGCATGATTGAACACGTCTGTGATGAGTTTCAGAGCATGTAAAACACCTTCAAAACTTGTCATTTCTTTGATCTTTTACAAAATGAACAACCCACATCTGTGCCGATGGGTTTTTTCATTAGCCTCTCAGTGATCTGACTCTAATCACTCTTTTCTGCTGTGTAAATTATATTTACTATAGACAAAAGCTGACATCTTATAATGTCTACCGATTATACTTCTATAACAGCACAGAGGCAGCTTATGAAGTCATTTGCCATATTTATTTTGTATCTTCAGTTCTGTTTCTGAATTCAATTATTTTTATTATAGGTAGAGCAAGATGAAAAATTACTCAACTGTATAATTGTTTTCATGATAAAATAGAGTATAATTTTCTAAATCTGTGTAATATTTAATATATGTATTATGTGGGTCACAAAATCCATTATGCACTATTAAATAATAATATTTATAATTTATTTAAGGATGTGTAGGGGGTCAGTAGCTGTAATATTCACACATATTTGATCATTTTCATAGGAAATAGATGTTTCAAAATCAATTGTCCCTGATCATTCTTAATGATGTTAGGCATATTTGAAAGCTCCAAAACATTTGGAAAGGAGAAGAGTAAAAATGAAAATTTTGTTTTGATAGTATTGAAACTCTCAAAGCAATTTCACTAGTAAAGTATTTAGTCCCATTTTAATGTCCAAATCATTATAGTAAATCTTCATTTGATATTTCTCTTTCTCATTCAACTTTTTTACTTTGGTATTGGTGATGTTAATTTTAAATGCTCACTATTAACCATAAGTTCCTTAGCCTGAATGCCTATATATTAACATTCAATAACAAGAGTGTTTTCAATGTATAACAGAACTCATTACTTTAAAAGTCTGTCAGAAAAACAAATACTCATTGTTAATGTGAACTCTGCATTTAGTAATTCCTTCTCACATTTATATCAGTTTGTCACTTATTAGACCAAATGAAAGTACAAAGATGTTCCTATTATACTAAAGGAAATATAGATAAATTACAAATTTATAAATCATATTTCTCTTTGACCAAAATGGTCCAAGAACCCTTAAACAATAAAACTATCATTGGTTTAGGAGCTGGGATGCACAGTAAGTCACAAATCAGCACAAGGTATTTGAAAAGGTATTTTCAAAAGTAATCTGTAAAGAAGAGAGAAGAAAGAAGAAAGGAGGAAGAAAGAAGAAAGAAGGAAAAAAGAAGAAGGAGGAGGAGAGGGAGAAGGAGGGGAGGGGGAGAAGAAGGGGGAGAGGAGGAGGAGGATGAGACAGTTACTAGGGCAGGGAGGGAGAGGAGGAGGTGGGAGAGGGATGGGGAGGGGGAGGGGGAGGAGAGAAAAAAAAGAGAACCAGAAAGAATATGGTTTTAGGTAGCCAAGCTGTGACAAAACTGGCCAAAATGGGACTATCAATGAAAAAATTTAAAAAACAACATAATGGTAATTTTATTTAAATATGTCTTTTGTGCAAAATAAAGCTAAAGTAAACTTTGGTAACCTTCTGAAGTCAATATATTTGCCTTGCTGTGGGTATAGTTTGTAATTATTGTTTTCAACTTTGTATATATACTCATGATTTAATCCATCAGAAATATGTTGGGGTGAGAGCACGTTTGTCTTTTGTTATACTTTCTGAACAATTATGTCTGCCTAATCCTGCTATTAGTGGCCTCCTCAACTAGATACTTAAAATAAGAATTAAGAAAAATAAGATTATTTGAGTGATATTTCAATATCTTTCATGTTAGCATGGAATGGAAAGGGAAGGAAAAGGAAGGGACGTAAACAAGTGCAAAAAGAGGAGAATAAAAATAGGTGAATTTCATTACAGAACAGATAATTCTGCTGTTAAGTGTCAAGACATGTACAACTGAATTGAAAAGTAATTACATTTAGTCATAATCACCAGTACTTTTGATATTCAGTCTTCTCTCTTAAAGAAAAAATACATTGGATGGGAGGAAATGCTTATGGGAGTGGATTCAGTTATAAAGAGGCATTTTGTTTTGCTTTCATCTGGCATTGAATGACAATGGTCAGGACTAAAGTCATATAGTTATGTATTTGTGTATGCATGAATACATTAATTTAGTATATGTATCTATACATTTATGAAAGACAAATTTAATTCCATATCAATGTTAATAACAATTATAAATTTAAAGCTTTGAATTCAATGATTTAAAAATATAACAAAATAACATCAGAATATTAGACCTGTATTTTCTCTATATTTGATGGACAAAAATATAGAATGCACAGAACACTTGTGCAACACAAATAAGAAATTTGCATAACATAAACATGTTTGACATGATGAATTATGTTGCACTCTGCCCTCAAAAAGATAACAGGAAATAAGAATTTAAAAATATAGCGGCACATCTACAGAAGCAACAACTTAATAGATAACAAAATTACTCAAAATTTTAAATATCAATTATATATTATATTGTCTAAGAAAGTCAATTGTATTAGAAATTGTAAAGATAGTGTTATATATCACCAATAAATTTGGAAATTTAATAAAAGCCCTACTAAATAACTTTTGGTTTAAAGAATATGTTACAAAGGAAATATGGCCTCAACTGAAGGACATTAAGTATGCTATATAAAAACCATGAGATACGTGAGTATAGTGACACATGGAGGTATTATTACAGCCTAAACCCATCGCTTCAGAAAACGTTTGAAAATCACTAAGTTTGAAATGAGACACTAACTCACGAAATTAAAATAAAACTGTATGTCTTTTCAAAATAATAATGATAATCTCATGTAATAATGAATAGAAACCAAAGAGAAAACAGAAAGTGTATATGTTTAGAAGCCTACAAAACAGTAACAGATATGATGTTCTTAAACAAGAAAATAGTAAATATCTAAGAAAATGGCAAATATGAAAAAAATTACCTTAGGAATGACGAAGATGACATATATACGCCTATGTTCATTCTATGAAAAATGCAGTGCCAGTAAATTTAAAATATATTTTGAGAAATTTTAGGCATACAAATAGTATCAAATAATTATGACATAAAACAAAATTTTATCAAACCAAATATACAGTTTACTCATGAAGTGTACATTGGTGGATGGTTAAGACGAGGAAAGAATTCCATCCTTCACCCTTAACTTTGATGTCTGCTGTGGGTTTGTCCTAGATGCTGTTTAACAGGTTAAGGAATTTATCTTCTTTACCTACTTTGTTGAGTGTCTTTATGATAAAGAATTGGTGGAGTTTGTCAAATGCTTTTTCTACCTCTATTAAAATAATCATGTAATTTTTCCCTTTATTCATTTGGTATGGTTTATTACATTAATTGATTTTAAGATATTAAACTAACTTTCAATTATGAAAAAATTCCCTCTTGGATATGGTTCAGAATTCTTTTTCTATATTGCTAGTATTTTGTTGAGAAATTTTTTGGCTGCATTCATAAAAAATATTGGTCTGTAGTTTTTATTTTGTTTCCTTGTTGATTTTTTTTTTTTTTTTGGATTTGATGTCGACATAATACTGACCTCATAAAATTTTCTGGGACATGTTCCTCTATTTTTCTTGGAAGAACTTGTGAAGTATTGGTATTAATTCTTCTTTAAATGATTGGGAGAATCACCAGGGAAGCCATATGAGTCTGAGTTTTCTTTCTGAGCGGCTTCTTTTCTTTATTATTAGTTTAATACCAATTAAATATAGATTATTTTGAAGGGGCAGCTCTTGAGGTAAGATTTTGGTTTTTTTCGGCCCCAGAAAGGCATTTTCTTAGCAGTGTGTTCATCATTCTTTCTGGCAAACTACTGGACCAATGGTTTAACTTGTATATCTCATGAAGTTACCACCCTTCTCTTCTTCTCTTAGTTACCTGTCAACAATTTCCCATTGTTTTTGAGGGTACCCTTATGTTTTAACTTTTTCAAACTCTGTTTTAATAAAATCCATTTCTTTGGGAAACTTTCAGAGTTTTGTTTGTTTATTTGTTTGTTTGTTTGTTTGTTTTTCCTGCATTTCACCCTGGGCAAAATCTCTAAGCAATGGTTCTGAGTTTGGGGCAGAAGCAGTCGCATGATTCTTTCTGAATGACGTCCCTGCTTTAGGATTGGAGTAGTAGCCTACAGTCTTTTCAGGTTTTCCACCCTACAAATAAGCGGTAGTAGTATGAGTGATCGAGGCAAACTGCAGTGTTCCCAATCACTGTGCCTGAAAAAAAGAGACAGAGAGAGAGAGAGAAAGGAGAGAGACTTTTAGGAATTATTTTCATAAAATAGACAGTGGTATTTTTAACTGTTTTCAAATTTTATATTGGAATCCCCCATTCTGGATGGTATTGTGAGATGCTCTGTGGACTGAAACAAGCATATCTGGTCAGAATTGAAAAAACAACCATTTAAATTATCTGGAAATTGTCATAAGGGAATACTACAGATGAAGAAATATATATTCTAAAAAAATCCACTAATACTAGGTAGAGACAGTGAGAATGTGTCAGTTGAACCATGATTCTCTCCCTCCCTCACCCACCTGCCAAGTTCAGCATAGCTGTAATTCCATTCCAGGCAGGTATAGTCATATAGCCAGAAACACATGGCTGTCTCTCCCCTTGATTATGGTATCTTCCTAGGAGAACTGGATTTCTTATTAGAGCTTTCTCCATTTTGTTTGGTTTCTATTGTAACTAAAAACTAACCAAATGTTTGGTTTTTCCTATATTTTAAAATCTGTTTCATTATTTTTATGTCTGTGCATGTCACAAATTCTATGTAATTTACAAATTTATTAGTCTTATATATTTTAATAGATATTTATAAACAAATATTGAACCTGAATCTTTGAACTATATTTGTCTCTTTCATTTGAGGTTTTTTTTTAACAAATTTATCTCATTTTGGTCATAATTCACTTGGTGAAACTTTTTGTGTGTGTTTCCTTTGAGTCAAATTGGTAGTACATAGAAAATATTACATTTATATGCAAAATTGCATTTTGCCACTATCTCAGCTTTAAAATGTAAGTCTCATATTAGCAATTAATATGTGTAAAACATTTTTATAATATCTCATAAGAGAAAGTCAATATTCAGAAGTGAATTTCTGGCCAAGCTAATACATTATATTATTTTTGATGCAACCTAATTAGCTCTTACACCACAGCCTCTGCTGAAACTGACTTTGCATTAACCGTCATTCACTAGATTCCTTGATGAGTATGAGGTTCAGCCTCTAGCAAACACTCTGAGTTGCACTCTGTAATGGTGATATTTGGAAATGCTGTTCACTGAATGTTTTATTTACTCACCAAATGTTCTTATTGACTTAATTATTAGTGCCATTATTGCTTCTAAAAGACTGCTAGAACAAAGGAAAAAATTTGAGTCAGATATTTGGCATGTTTTCTCCCTGCCCTTTTTTTTTTTTTTAGAAAAAAAAAAATATTGTTCAGGGTGTTTTCAAATGTAAGCCATTTGCATAAGAAATTATTGCAAAATATAGACATCATTTCCACATAAAATTCTATTCGAAGCATCATATGTCATGTGAAAAAATGTCATAAAAATTCTTTTCTGAAGTGGATTTAATGTTTTTGCCAAATTCATATTACCAGACCATACATAATCCCTTTACCTTTCAATAGTTGATAATATTTTTAGTTATAGTCATAGCTAAATAACCCATATTACTCAAGATTGAGAGGCAGGAAGGGGATGCACAAAGAACATTGTTGTTAATGGTAACTGCTATTTGGGCCCTAGTGGTATTGATATTCTCCCTCAAATCAACCTATCGAAATTCTATATATTGAAGGACAAGGCTTTGTGCTTTCCCCAAATTCATATGTTGCAGCCCTCAACTTCCAGTTTCATTATATTTACAGATGGAGTCTTTGGGAGGTAATTAAGTCATGAGGTTGGAGCCCTTATGAGTGAGATTAGTATCCATAGGCAAATAGACATAAGGGGATAATGTCTCAATCTCTCTCTCTCTCACCCTGTCTCTCTCTCTCTCTCTCTCTCTCCATGTGTGTGTGTCTCTTTCTCTTTCCCTCTTCCCTCTTTCCCTCTGCCCTATGAGGATATGGTAAGAAGAAAACCTTTTGAAAGCCATAAACAGAACTCACCAGGAACAAATCAGCTGGCATTTTGGTCTCCAGACATCAGAATTGTAAAAAATAAATGTCTTTTAAACCACTCAGTTTAGGACATTCTGTTATAGCAGACGGAGCAGACTGGGACAGACAATTTAAATATATCAAATGAGGCCTTAACTTATTATTTCTCATATCTACCAATAACATTAATGATATTCTACTTTTTCATGTTTATTTGTGAGTATGCATCTCATCTCTCTTAATAAACAGTAAATTATTTTATATCAGGCAAATTTTTACTGACTGTTTTGCAAGAGTCCTAGCATAATTCTGTGCACATATTAGGTGTAAGCAGTATTTGTTGAATTTAATTAGGAGCCATTAGTGAATTTCAATATGAATTGTTTAAACAGACATTATAACAAATTTAGTTTACACTTAGATTTATTCTTTTTTTTTTTTTCTAATCTCCTCTGGTTAAAAGTTTTAAAAAGTTTATACATGGGGTATTTTTGAAAAAGATACAAGGCCTAATGTATATTGGATTTAATTTTTGACAAGGGAGTTGATAAGAAGATTGTTGATAATCCATGATAGCCAGGTAAAAAACTTTCGCAATTAAAATATAACATTATATGTCATGTTAGGAATTTCAAAAGCTTTACAAGTATTACCACGAGATGATGTCCTCATGCTTTAAGGATGCTTTTTATGTAATCTCTCTTAAATTTTTTACAATAGAAGAGAATATAATAACCAAAGCAAGCACACAAATTTGCTTTTTGAATCTCTAATCTTTCCAGCATTTTAAGAGATTCATGTTGAATCAAATATGTGCCCTTTCTAATCCTCCTTTGAAGGGCACAGTGAATGATTATACCTAGTTTCAATTTCTGATTTATTTGCTCTTCAGAGGAGAAGATAATTGTAAAAAATTGGCTCACAAATTTAAGAAAATGTCTACAAGTATTTTTACTTATATTTTTCATTCTTTGATAGTAAAGAAACAATATGTAAAAAAAAAAAAAAAAATTGTAAGCCACCAATACAAGCTTTCAACATTTCTCCCAGAAAAGGGAGTTTAGCTTTTTCTAAAGCATTTTGCTTATTCTGACACATCTGCAAATCCCAGGATTTTTTTTTCCTAAAATGTCTGATTTTAAGCATTATATCAAAGAAACTGTATGTATCAAAATGTTACTGTTTTTGTTTTTTATTTTATTATTTTTTAATTATGTATTTTTTTCAGTTCTACATGTGCAGTATGTGCAGGTTTGTTATATTTCATACCTAAATTCACACATCACCAAAATGAATCAATGTATGCCAGGATTTTTCAACCTTTGCTCTATTGACATGTTGGACTGCATAATTCTTTGAGAGGATAACTGATAGAGTTTGTATATTTGTCCCTGCCTCAATTCCATGTTGAATCCCCAGTACTGGGCATGGGGCCTGGTAAGACGTGATTGGACCCTGGGAGCTGATTTCTCATGAATCATTTAGCATCATACGCTTGGTGCTGTCCTCGCGATAATGAGCAAGTTCTCATGAGATCTGGCTGTTTGAAAGTGTGTGGCATCTCTTTCTCTCTCTTAATCTTTCTCTGTCTCTTGCATTCATGATGTGACACGCCTTCCCCCATGAGTAAAAGCACCCTGAGGCCTTCCCAGAAGCTGAAGGAATTTGGCGCTATGCTTCCTATACAGCCTCCAGAACCCTGAGGCAATTAATTCTCTTTTATTTATAAATTACCCAGTCTCAGGGATTTCTTTATAGCAATGCAAGAACGGCTTAATACAGTGACTGTATTGTTTATGTCAGGATTTTAACAGAACCCCTTGCCTCTATGCTCTAGATGAGTAGTATCCAGTATTTCTGGCACCAGGGACCAATTTTGTGGAAGACAATTTTTCCAAGGATGAGGGCGGGGGATAAAACTTTTCCACCTCATATCATCAGGCATTAGATTATCATAAGGAGCACACAACCTAGATCCCTCACATGTGCAGTCACAATGGGGTCCACGCTCCTATGAGAATCTAATGCCACAGCTGATCTGACTGGAGGCAAACTCAGGCAGTAATGCTTGCCCTCCCCTCACCTTCTGCTGTGGAGGCCTAGTTCCTAATAGGCCATGGACTAGCAGCAGTCCATGGTCCAGGGGTTGGGGATTCAGAGCAGATGTTAAGAGCAAGAAAGTGCAAAGGGGATTAAAAATAAAGTTATATTGTAGATGTCAGAAGCATCAATGATGAATGAAAGAAATTTGAAATTTAGCAACGTTTACAAAAGAATATTTGCAGGTTTAAAGTGCTTTTGGAGTTAGAAAATTGTCTAGACTGAATACATTGTTTATTGTTTAGACTGAGTAAAGAAAACATTAGTCAACAAAGGCTCCTGTGGGGAAGGTCTCTCTCTGCTCAAAATGAGGTAGACAAAAAGAAGACTAGGTTTTGAAGAAAACGACATAAAACTTTGGGCACATTGAATTTGAGATATTGATGAGGTATAGTCATGCTAGTGATGCAGAAATATAGAAATTTAAGCCTGAAACTCAACTGAAAGGATGGATTTACACATATAAATCAAGAATAATTAATGTTTAATTCTTACCAGGAACCATAAGATTACTCCGGTAGAGCATATTTGAGAAGAAAATAGATCTTGACAGGAATCTTGAAATAAACAATATCTAAGGGACAGATAAAGAACCTATTAGAAGAAAAAAATACACATTAATACAGATATAGAAGAACCAGATGAGTTTTTGCTTATAATTTACAGGGGGCTGTTGGATTTAATAAACTGAAAGTCATCTTTGATTAATGAATGGGAAGTTCAAATAATTTTTGACCCACATATAAAGAGAGAAATCACAAAAATGTCATAAAAGGATAGCAGCCACACAGGAAGGGCTTTAAATATATATTTTTAAAATTTTGATGTATTTATTTATTTTTGTCTAGCAAGTGAATCTGAGTGAGTCAGATTCAGCAAGATTTAAATTATATTTTTAAACACTGACATATAATCTATAATCTCCATTTTTTGTTTAAAATATGAAGTACAAATGCAAATTTTGAGATTCCTGATCAGTGATTTATCTCAATCTAGAAAAGTATGTATACAAAAGCAAAATAAAATGAGATACTTGATTGCTTAGCATTTAATTGGAGCAAAAGGTTTTAGTTTGATGATCTTATTGGTCAATGTAAAAAATTATAAAACACGCATAAACTATATTTTTCCCCTATTAATCTACCCTATAGAAATATTTAAACATATGTTCTATAAAGCGTCACTTTCTATACACACATTGGGTAATTCTCTTTCATTTTGAATGTGGGTTTGGCCGTATAACTTGCCTTGTTCTGTAGGATACCCGTAGATATAACACAGGTAGAGAAATTAAAAGTATTTGCTCATTGGAACATTTCCTCAAGTTCTGATGGAATTTCTTCTTTCACTACATGAACTAATCAAGATGCATCCATCCATTGACTAATAAGAGATCAAATGGAGAGTGGCTTCAGACATCCTGCCTTTTTAGCTGAGAATCCAGATGTATGAGTTAGATGAGTTAACCCATTCTAGGTAAATCTGTCACAGCTTGGCCAAATCAGATAAGAATGCCGTGCTAAAACACAGAATAATGACAGACAATAAACAGCTTTTTGGAAGGGGAGAGGACACTACATTTTGTGCTGGTTTATTACAAGTGAGATATACATACCCATCATTCTTCATTCCATTTTACACAACTTTATTCTGAGCCAGTCAGGTGGGAAGTGGTCCCTGGAGAGACTTCAACCAGCCTGCCCACTGAGGTAGAGCCTTGGGAAGTTCACGACATTTGCAGCAGGGAGGAGCCTGGCTCTTCTTCTTCTTTTATGGAACCAGGGATTTAAATGGCAAGGCGGGAAGCACTCCAGCTGGGATCCTGGCCTAGCGAGAGTCCCTGTTTCCCCTTTTTCTTCTTTCTCACCCAATAAAACCCTGTCTTACTCACCATTCAAATTGTCTGCAAGCCCAGATTTTCCTGGCTGTGGGACAAAGAAACCAGTCTTTAGCTGAACTAAGGAAAAGTCCTGCAACAAATCCATCCTGGTAGTTATTTTAGATGATTTTACATAAGCAAGACAGACAAAATGTGACCTCCAAGATTAGCTACTCGTGATATAGGGTGGCCAGTGCCTAAATTAGTCCTTTAGACATGCTGTCAGAATTTTACTGTAACTGAGATTACTGTTTCTTTATCTGTCAAAATATAATTAGGCCATAAATTCCACTACATGATGCCAATAATAATAATAATTAGACTATTTAAAATTTACCACTTGCTAAAGCAGTACTAGGAGTTAATATGAAAGACAGAAGGCATTTCAACAGCAACAACCCTAGTGTGATATCAGGTGTTGGTGTTATCAATTTATAATAGATTGCTCTCATATTGAAAACATGTTTCCAAATCTGTCAACAAGTGATTTAATAGATGCACAGATATTCTAATGCTGTATAATTATATTAGCATATTTAAGGAGCTAGCCATAACAATGTACTAAAATAAACTTGTTAAAAATATGATTAAAGATACTCTAAATTTTAAGTTGAAACATTAATCAATCTCTATACCCAAGAAGACTTTTTAAAATCAATTCATTATTACATGAATATTATTAACACATACATTACTGCATAAGAGTTTCTGGAGGAGTAAATCCTTGATGTATTAAGAAAGGGTTTCACTGCAGGGATCCAGTTATTTTGAACGAAAAGAGATTTGATGCAGAAAATTGGGTGCTTATAAAATGTGTATTCATTTCAAGATAGTTTATTTATTTCTTTATAAAAATGATTTTTTTTCAATGTTATCCTTTTTGTTGCCTAGGGAGAAAATAAAATTCTTTTACAATTTTAAAATACATGTACTCACTCTATTTTTAGACTTCTTTTGTTTTGTGTTTCTTTGAGAGAGCTATTTTATGCGTTATAGTTATAATATTTCCTTACAATGAGTTTAGTTTTTCTTTGTTTTGTTTTGTTGTGTTTTGTTGTTGTATTCTCTTAAGATATGTTCTTTTTGATTGTAAGCTCAGTTAAAATAGATTTGCTGGGTTGGTTATTTTTTGTTTTGATGAAAGTCTACTGTTAATACATTTTTCAGAAAACTTTTCCATAGAGCAGTTTTAAATTTTCCGTCTGCTCTCACAGGAGAATTTAACAGTTCTGGACACTATGTTATTTTTCATTTTTGGATCCCTGCATGTGTGGGTGGAATACATTTTGATTCACTAACTCCTACGCTGGTTTGAGATTTTGACTTCTCACAAGGAAATTTTTTTCTCTCTGTCTCTCAGAGGTCTGTATCTATTGTACACCTCCTTTCTGCCTCACCAGGCCCAGTAAGAAGGGATAATTTTAGTTCCTATTATGAGAATGTTACTGTATTTTAGATACCCAGCATTTATTGAGAATCTCAGTTTTCTCTTTATGAGTTATACAGGCTCAGGGCACAGTCTATTGTCCTTAACTTTGTTCAGAATTTCTGCCCCAGTCTAGGTCCTTGTCATCATAATTTCAGCTTCCAGATTACTTGATTTTACTTGTTTCCAATTTTTTTTAACCTAAAAGTTTTAATTACAAATTATCCAGAATAGTATTTCCATTTGTTCGTAGATTGAGAAAGCAAGCTGTATCACCTTCCTTCTCCATGTTTCAGGAAGTTGTCTCATTTGCTCTGAAAATATTAGATACATGTAATAACCACATAAATATATTATTTTTTCAAAATTGTCAGTGCATATTTTTAACTTAATGTTCTATTAAAGTTTGTGGAAATTAATATGCATTAAAAGTATTTGAATTCAGCATCTAACACTTTGAACAATCAAAGAAAATAACAAATGTATTAAACCTGAACTTAAAATGATTAAGCAAGATAAATAAAAACATAGTAAATTAAACGTAAATTAATATTTTATGCATACCTTTTGATCTTTAGTTGCATATTCTTAATGTGAAAATTTTTAAATTACACCAGGCATACATTTTCAAAATCAGTCTCCCTCTACAAGACTGTAGATTGTGAATCAGTCTCATTGGTATCTTTTTTAGTAAAAGAAAGCTCATCAGTCTGTCATATTATACATTTTATTTTTGATTAACTACCACTCTAGAATTCTCATAAGTTTTAATATACTTTTCAACAACAGTCATCCTAATTCCACTGTCTGAATAAAAACAGAACAAGTATTTTTCTTTTTCTACATAAAGATTTTCAAATATTTGAAGAAAATTCACCATTGTATTCCAAATATTAACTTTCAACCGCTTTTGTGTTCCTCAGATAACACTGCTTTCAAATTTTTTATTACCTTAGTCATTCATCCATTCTTAAGTTAATTTTAAACTTAGGAGTCTAAAATAGATAATCTATAGGTAGTTCAGCAGGCACTGAAAGCAATTTTACTTCTTTTGAAGTAGACACTTGATATTACATCACATTAAATTTGCATTATCTCTTAGACTGACTTCTTTGAACAAGTATGCCCATTCACGTCTCCTTATTCTCTAATACTACTAATCTTAATGTTAAAATATTCTTCTTTTTGTTCAGTACTTTCATTGTGTTTTCATTAGATGAAAGAATAACAGTGAAATAGAATTTATCTCTTATAATTATGTATATCTTCTCTAATATGTCCTCCATAATATTTGTACTTTAGCTTTAGGATTTATATAAATTAGTGTTATCATTTTCTCATGTGTTTTTTCCAAATGTCATAAAATTCAGACATTGTTTTTCTTTGGTAAAACAGGGTCAAAGTCAATTCTCTTACTTTCTCTTCAAAAAGTTGTTAAATAAATTAAATATAACAATATATGCATAACCTAATTACCAAAAGGAAAAATGACCCACAATGATCACCTGATAAGCAAAAGTAATTCCAGGCTTAAAAAAGAGAACAGTAAGATAAACTTAAGAATTATACTTATTTCCATTCATATTTGGTATTTTCCCAGTCATGACAGCCTCTTATGATTTAGATCATGTTTTTCTTTTTACCTAGTATACACATTTTTGCTTTTCTGCAGCCCTAATGAACTTACATTCTTCTAGACTTTGTTCAAACATCATTCTATTGTGGGCATGCCTATACTTTGACACATCATCTATTCTCCAATAAACACCAAATTTATTTGTAATAAGGTAGTTTGTCTTTCTATGAGCTTTTTGTCTGTATTTCTATATTTTTCCATCCCCAGAATAGAGTTGTCATTCGATTAATAAATGCTTTCTGAATAAAGAAAGAAAATAAGAAGAAATAAGCAAGAAACAAACACCAAAAGTAAAGTGCACATCTTAGGTGCAAAAAGTGTGAAGGCCTTAAAGACAAACATTGATTTATAGGCAAATTTCCTTAGGCCATACATTTTTATTATTATAATCTGTATTAAAATAAATGCATTTTTTATAAAATACATATTTTTAAAGCTGTCATCTAAAAGTTTGAAATAATTCTGTTAGATTTTTGAAAAATAGTGCAATTGTGTAATAATTAAAGCCTCATTTGTAAAACTGATAAAATAGAACATACTATAAAAGTCAATTTTGATCATGAAAATAATTCATCCTATAAAGGGTTTAGCATAGTTTCTGGTGTCAAAATCAGAAACTGTATCATAAATAATTTTTCTTCTATGAGTTCTGAACTACTTGAGAGATATGAACAATAGATTGGGAAATTGTAAATCAAAATATAAGCCTAATCAAATATTAAAATCTATCATCAACCCTAAAAAAATCACACATAGGATTTTTGGCCAGAATTTGGAATTTTGAGTAATTAAATTTAATTATCAATTATTATAGCCTTCTATGCAGAAAGTCTATTTTATTTATTATGAAATATGCTACTGACTGGGTATGGTTGTTCACGCCTGTAATCCCAGAACTTTGGGAGGCTGAGGCAGGCGGATCACCTGAGGTAGGGAGTTCGAGACCAGTCTGAACAACACGGAGAAACCCCATCTCTACTAAAAATATGAAATTAGCTGGGCGTTGCTTGGTTGCTCATACCTGTAACCCCAGCTACTTGGGGAGGCTGAGGGAGGAGAATGGCTTGAAACTGGGAGGCGGAGGTTGTGGTGAGCTGAGGCTGTTGCACTCCAGCCTGGGCAACAACCATCAACTGGGCAACTCCATCAAGAAGGAAAGAAAGAAGGAAAGAAAGAGAGAGAGAGAGAGAGAGGGAGAGAGAGAGAGAGAAAGAAAGAAAGAAGGAGGGAAAGAAAGAAAGAAAGAGAGAAAGAAAGGAAAAGAAAGAAAGAAAGAAAGAAAGAAAGAAAGAAAGAAAGAAAGAAAGAAAGAAAGAAAGAGAAGGAAAAGAAAGAGAAAGAAGGAAAGAAAAAGAAAGAAAGAAAGAAAGAAAGAAAGAAAGAAAGAAAGAAAGAAAGAAAGAAAGAAAGAAAGAAAAGAAAGAAAGAGAAAGGAAGGAAGGAAGAAAGGAAGGAAGGAAGGAAGGAAGGAAGGAAGGAAGGAAGGAAGGAAGGAAGGAAGGAAGGAAGGGATTGTGAATGTTCTATATTCAGGAGTAATTACATGTAATAAATAATTTCTCCATATGAAGGGAAAAACCTCTTCTAAGTAGATTTGTTAAATTACACAATAGCCACTATCATCACTGTACTTTATTTCATTTCCTGTCACTCTAGATTTCCAGTACTCATAAAGAGCCCAAGCCTCTCCTAGAATTTGAAAAATCAAGTTACTGTAAAATAAGGCCTCCCAAGGTTGCCACATTTAAAATCGGAGATTTCAGTATTAAATATTTGTAGGCCTTTGAAGCAGATGAAACACGGTATTTTTGTTTCAGTAGTATTCTCAGGTTGCCTCAAATACTGAAATTAAATCTATTCCCTACACCATCCATCTTCAAAGTTTGAACTAATCATCAGCAACTTGAAGATGTTCAGAAAAATGTTAAAATGATTATAGGTGTTTTAGTGCATGAAGGTCAGTGTGATATTCTGGAAGCATAAAATAATGTATTGAATGTTTACTCTCTTAGAATATGTATGTCTAGAGCTAAAGAGATATGTTACATTCCCGACATTGTTTCTTGTGAATGTTTAATTTGATGAATTTAAATTCTGAGAATAATAGTTTTCAGTTTCAATTAATTCAAGAACTGTTTCTGGGTAACTTCCTATACTTCAGCTACATGGCATTGAAAGAGGTCAGATAATTTCCTTCAACCATAAGGTTTTCTATGATAACAGTATTAAAAGACTTAAATTATAGAGAATGTATCCTATGAACACCAAACTAAGAAATTCAAAATCAATAAAATAATTTCTTTAGGCAATTCCCAAATATTTGAAAATTACAGATTCTGAAAAAATGCATAGGGCAGAGAAAAATATCACAAAGAAAATTAGAAAATATTTTAAGTGAATTATAAAGAAAATTCAAGACATCAAAATAAGTGTGATGTTGCAAAAGCAGTGCTTAGAGGAATATTATGACTTAAAATTTCATATTAAAAGTGAAGAAAGATAAAAATCTGTAGTCAGCTTTCAATTTATAACATTAGTAAAAAAGAAATATGAGAGCAAGAGAAAACTAAACAATTAGAAGAAAGGAAAAAAATAATTGTTTAATGTAATAGTTTTTGGGATGCAGGTGGTTTTTGGTTAGATAGATAAATTCTTTAGTGGTGATTTCTGAGACTGGTGAACCCATCACCCGAGAAGTGTCCACTGTACCCAATATGTAGTCTTTTATCCCTCAACCTCCTCCCAAATTGCTTCCTGTATTTCCAAAGTTAATTATACCATTCTTATGCCTTTACATCCTCATAGCTTAGCTCCCACTTATTGTAAGTGGGAACATACAATATTTGGTTTTCCATTCCTGAGTTACTTCACTTAGAATAATGGCCTCCAGCTCCACCCAAGTTGCTGCAAAGGCCATCATTTCATTTCGTGTGATGGCTCAGTAGTATTCCACGGTGTATATATACCGTGTTTTCTTTATCCATTCATTGGTTCATAGGTATTTAGGTTGATTTCATGTATTTGCCATTGAGAATTGTGCTACTATAAATGTGCATGTGCATGTTTCTCTTTCATAGAATGACTCGTTAGTAAATTTGCGAGCATACGTCAGTGAAATAGAAAAAAATTAACAAAGTCAAAAGCTATTTACTTTAAACAACATTGATCAAGCCTGTGCTACATTGGTCAAAAAAATGAATTAAAAATAATCCAGTAATGTTGGGAATAAAGCAGGTTTTATCCCTTCACATATTATAACCGTAATAAGGGAATATAACTTTATATTGACAAATGTGACAACTGAGTAAAAGGCACACATTTCTGAAAAAATGCAACTTACCAAAATTAAAAGATAAAACAGAAAATCTGAATAACTATATTAATTAAATTAAACTCATTATTAAAAAATAACTTTCTATAAAAAAATTCTAGGCCAGGCACAGTGGCTCAGGCCTGTAATTCCAACACCTTAGGAGGCTGATGCAGGAAGATTGCTTGAGCCCAGGAGTTCCAGACCAGCCTGCGCAATTTAGTGAGAACTTTTCTCTAGGAGAAAACAACAACAACAACAACAACAACAACAGAAAGCACATACAAATTAGCCAGGTCTGGTGGCGTATGCTTGTAGTCCCAGGAATTCATAAGACTGAGGTGGAGGATCAATTTAACTGGGCAAGTGAAGGCTGCAGTGAGTTAAGATTGCACATTTACTCCAACCTGTGCAACAAAGCAAGACCCTGTCTCAAAAAAATAATAATAACAGTAAAGAAAAGAAATTCCAGTACTAAAGAGTTCAGTTGGTGAATTGGATCAGACATTCAAGGATATAATTAAGTAAATTGTACACAAAGTCTTTAGAAAATAGTTAAAAACAATTCTCAACTGAACCTCCACAATGGAGTCAATATTTACACCATAAGAAGTACTGTTTAAGTGAAGTAATAATGCTACTGTTTGTTTATTTATAATCTTATTTATTTATTTTAATTTAAATGATTCGCTTTCAAGTGATACAACAAATTATTGATAAATTTGAGATTATTCTTCATATTCTCAGATTACTTTTTTAATAATCAACTTTTTAATAATCCTCTCATCCTCTGTAACTTGATATTCAAAATTATACGGTTTCTAATTTCAAAATACACAATCTCTAATAAGTAGCTTGAAATCTACTGAACCAATTCTTACTAACTTATTTACAGTAAGCTAATTTATTTTTGCCAATTCTAATTATTAGGTTTGGGATGGTTCTTTCTTTTTTTATTTTTTAAAGATTAAAACTTTTTTTAATTTCCATAGATTATTAGGGAACAGGTGGTGTTTGGTTACATGAATGAGTTCTTTAGTGGTGATTTCTGAGATTTTGGTGCACCCATCACCCGAGAAGTGTACACTGCACCCAATTTGTAGTCTTTTATTCCTCACCCCATTCCCACTCTTTCCCCGAGTCCCCAAAGTCCATTATGTCATACTTATGCCTTTGCCTCCTCATAGCTTAGCTCCAGCTTATGAGTGAGAACATACAATGTTTGGTTTTTCATTCCTGATTTACTTCACTTAGAATAATCATCTCCAGTCTCACCCAGGTCATTGTGAATGCCATTAATTCATTCCTTTTTGTGGCTGAGTAGTATTCCATCATATATATGATTTATATAATATATATATATCTTATGTATGATGATATATGATACATATTATATATCATATATATGATGATACATATGATACATAATATATATGATATATATATGATATATATATTTATATATATCACAGTTTCTTTATCCACTAGTTAATTGATGGGCATTTAGGTTGGTTCCACATTTTTGCAATTGTGAATTGTGCTGCTACAAACATGCATGTGCAGGTATCCTTTTTGTATAACGACTTATTTTCCTCTGGCTAGATACCCAGTAGTGGGATAGCTGGATCAAATGGTAGTTCTACTTTTAGTTTTTTAAGGAATCACCACACTGATTTCCATACTGGTTTTACTAGTTTACGTTCCCACCAGCAGTGTAGCAGTGTTCCTTGTTTACTGCATCTACACCAACATAAATCATTTTTTGATTTTTTGATCATGGCCATTCTTGCAGGAGTAAGGTGGTATCACATTGTGGTTTTGATTTGCACTTCCCTGATCATTAGTGATGTTGAGCACTGTTTCATGTTTGTTGGCAATGTACATCTTCTTTTGAGAATTGTCTATTCATGTCCTTAGCCCACTTTTTGAGTGGACACTAATAGTTTGAGTTTTTCAATTAGCCAGGTGTGGTTATGGGCACCTGTCGTCCTAGCTACTCAGGAAGCTGAGGCTGGAGGATCACTTGAGCCCAGGAGTTCAAGGTTACAGTGAGCCATGATAGTGCTGGGTGACCAAGTGAGACCTTGTCTTGAATAAACAAACAAACACATGAATAAATAAATAAATAAATAAATGAATAAATAAATAATGGCTAAAATATATATTCACAGATTCCCGTTTGATTATTCCTACTTTTACTATACAATTTTGCCATGGTTAAGTCTCATTATTTTTTCTGATTTCAAGTTTCTAAATCAGGAATTGGAAAACTATGTCTCCTGGGTAGGGTTGCTTGATAAAATATAGGAGGCCCAGCAAAATTTGAATTTCAAATAAACAACACCTTTTTCTTAGTATAAATGTGTTCCATACAATATCTGAGACATACTTACACTTTAAAAATATTTTTATGACATGCAAATACCATTGACTGTCCTGTATTTTTATTTGCTGGCAACTTTTCCCATGGGCCAAATCCAGCCTAGCAGCTGTTTTATAAATAAGGTTTTGTTGGAACATGGCCGCTCTTCATTCTTATGCCTTGCTTGTAGCTACTTTTGCACTACAGTGGCAAAGATGAGTAGTTGTAGCAGATATCAAATAGCCTATAAAGTCTAAATATCGATTATCTGGTTGTTTACAGAAAAACCTTGGCAATCTCTGATCATAATGATAATAATTTGTAATATAATATTTGTATCATCTGATTCTTTACTCAGTTCCTATCTCCTTTTGCATTGATATGATTGATAGATAGATGATAGATACATGCCATAAGAGTATTGCAGACTTCTCCTGCTTAAAGTGAATGTATTCATTCTCCCTTGAAGTTACTTCTTTTCCTATGAACAACATCAGTATTGACTACATTACCAATAATATGTGACCCATACCTTAACCCACAGATTTGTTTTGCATGTGTGTGGGGGGATGGGGCATGGGGAGTAAGGTCAGGATGTAATGAATCAGAAGCAGGTAGTTTCTAGACCCTTAGGCTTCTCATGTCCATTTTTGTCATTTTATATTGATTCTATTATTTTGTTACCTCAAAAATATGTCTCCTTTTTTATCATGAAAACCCACTAAATTCTCTTCATCAATGCTACTCTAGATTGCAGCTCCTTTGCCCTATAACTCAGTATAACCACATCAGATCTAGCCTTCACAGTGAATCAATATCTTTCTGCAGGTCAGCAAATTGTACCAAATCTTAAAATATTCCCCTTAATATGTATTTATTTATCAAAGATATTAATATATATTGAAGGCCTACTCTGTGCAAAGCAATAGTTTGGATGCTCAAGATATATCAGAGAATTTAAACAAGTATTTACCCTTGACCTTTTAGGGATAATAATCTATCAAATACATCAATATAAAAATGATTAGAAGTAACTTCATTATGAGGATTTACTAGATGTTATATATAACATCAGAGTAAACAGACTTCAAATTTAATAATATTGTCCAAGGACAAATAACGATTAATTATGGAGCCAGCATTTGAAATTCCATGGTTTACAATCTAAGAACTCAGACTGTGAGAAAGAGTTCCTTCCAATAACTAGTCTTTGTCACTGAACTTGAAGACATAGTCTAAGAGAGTAGGGCTATGTGCTCTCGCCAGTCTAACACAAATTAAGCTACTACATATATATTTGAGACAGGGTGTTGCTCTGTTGCCCAGGCTGGAGAGCAGTGGCACGATTTTTGCTCACTGCAACCTCAACCTCAACCTCCTGTGCTCTAAAGGTCCTGCTGAGTACCTGGGACAATAGGCACGAAACACAAAGCCCAGCTAAATTTAGTGTGTGTGTGTGTGTGTGTGTGTGTGTGTGTGTGTGTGTATAGAGATATATAAAATATTATATATTATATATAAAATATTATACATATTATATACAAATATACATATTATATATAAAATATATATAATATATAAAATATTATAAATAATATATAAAATATTATATATATTATATATAAACAGCCTATTTTAAAAGTGTATAAAATTTTCTTTATACTATTTGGATTTTTTCATCTCACTGAAGAGTCAATGCAGTTATCCATCATTTACCAAGCTTTTAAAGGCCAGGCTGACATTATATATACACATTTTATTTCCATGAAAGTGGACAGAGCTAGTTATTTTATTCTTACATAAATATTGTGCCATTCTCTACTGTTTCATTGCACAGAACATTTTTTGTATTCAGACTCAGTATTCCATGACAATACTGAATACATAGGATCAGGAGCAAGGGGTGCCTTTTGCTTAGATGCATAAAACTGTAGAATTCTGACATTTTACACTTTTGATATTAATTTACAAATAGTGTATTCTTTGGTGGAGATAATTTGTTTAAAAGTAGATAATGTCATTTTATTAGCTCAGCCAACTTCTTTGTCTTTTGCTGTTTTTTATTCTAAAATTTATTATTAATCTTGGGGCTTCCAATATTAATATCCAGAATTATATCTAGAATTTTTCTTTTTCCTAAATATAGTTGCTGTGCCCAATCCATACCAAGTTACTGACTATTTCCTATATTTGTCATGATTTATCACAGCGTTGAATCTTTATAATTTTTCTAAAACCTGAAATACTTCTATCTATATATATTTTTGATATTTAAACTTTGTTTAAATTTTAAATTCTAATTCAATTAAAAACTTTGAATAATACGTTTCTTATCTCATTGCCATAGCAGTTTGCACTAGTTTTTTTTTGTGTTTAAATGTCATTTGGACAGAGAAGATTATGTATTTACATTTATAATGTCATATAAGCATCCATTCAGTTTATCAAATTTTACTTATTTTAACTTATTAAACATAATGGATACATTGTCAAATTTATTTATGTCACTTAAGTTGAACACTGATTTGCAAACTACATTTATCCACAGTGAGCTTTTATTTTTTCAGTGATTTAAAGTTACTTGAAATCATTATATTAATAAATATTATGCTTTTTGGCTACTAGGATTAATTTTACAAAAATACTAATGTAAATTAAAATAAGATCATTACATTTGTAATCTCCTATTATTGGGCCTAACTTGTCTAGAAGCTATCGTTATGACCTCCTACTCTGACTTGGCAATTTCTTCAATTTATTATTATTGTTATTATAACCACTACTAAGTTCATTATGTTTCTAGAAACACACCTTGATTTTGCAATCTTTTTAGGGTATACCAGTATAGCAAAAGTATTAATTCACTTCAATTCTTAGTGCCATTATTTTTTTGTTAACATAAAGCACTGTTCATTCTAAGCCATATGAAGCCAATGGTGGTGGTGTAATGTCCTCTCAATTTTAGTGATTCAAATTTTTGTGAGAAGTGAATGAATAATACAACAAAAAAGTAGTGCTTTTCGTATCATGTACAAACTTTTTCAAGAAAATAAATACAGTAAGTAAATAATAAATAACTGATTATTCAGCTCCTGATGTAGTTTATGCAAACAGTGAATTGGAGGGAAAAATTGGCTTAACTATAAAAGTGGGCTTTGAGGTAGAGTGATATTTGTATTGACTTAGTCCATGCTGCCTAATACTTAATACAAAAAAAGAAAAAAAAGCAGGTTGGCAGAGAGTAGAAGTGAAAACAGCTCATTGTGCCATCTGTAGAGGGGCTTTCTAATGACATGTCACGATTACAATGTTTCCTGTTTCCCTTTAAATGTCAATTATCCTTATTAAGAAGTTAATTCATAATAACGACTCTCATTCATTTCTAGAAGAACATGAATAGTGAGCTCATAATTCAATTTGTTATTACAGTTAAACAAATTAACTTTACTTGGCCTAAAGTGCTCTTCTCTGATCAAGCATACCTTAATATTTAACAGATATAGATTATTAATGAGCTTATTGATTCACTTCATTGAAAACAGTTAAAATTCACATTAGGAGGTCGTGATAGAGACACATATGACTGACTGTGACTAAATGCAAAACTTGGACACTCTAAGCCAATTCTGTTATAATTTATTTCCTCTGGCAGGCTTGAAAACATAAATTATTCTGTGAACCTTGTATGCCTCTTAAGGACTAGACACATGTAACAATATTTAACATAACAGGTCAGCCATGGTGGCTCACACCTGTAATCCAGCACTTTGGGAGGCCAAGGCGGGAGAATCACCTGAGTTTGGGAGTTCGAGACCAACCTGACCAACATGGAGAAACCCTGTCTCTACTAAAAATACAAAATTAGCTGGTTGTGATGGCGCATGCCTGTAATCCCAACTACTCGGGAGGCTGAGCAGGAGAATCACTTGAATCCGGGAGGTGGAGGTTGCAGTGAGGTGAGATTGTGCCATGGCACATTGTGCTCCTGCCTGGGCGACAAGAGTGAAACTCCATCTCAAAAAAACAAATAAATAACATACTTTAAAAATTTTAAGATTAATTAAATAAATATGTGCCTAAAAATATGAGGAATACATTACTATATATAAATTGGTTATTAACGTATAAAAATAAACAGATATGCTAGGAGACACAGAGCAAGATGGTGGAATAGAAGCCTCCACTGATCAACCCTCCTGCAAGGACATCAACTTAGCAACTATCTACAAAATCAAAGCGCCTTTATATGAACCAAAAATCAGGTGAACACTCATAGTACCTGGTTTTAACTTCGTATCTGAGGCACTGAAGAGGTAAAGAGTCTTGGAACACTGACACCATCACTACCCTATCCCCTGGCAGCAGTGTTGGCATGCTATGGATAGATTTTCTGTGTGCCGATGAGAGGGTGAGAGCAGCAATTTTGAGGTAGTGAATTCAGTGCTGCTTTATTATAACAGAAAACAAAACCAGACCAAACTCAACTGATGCCTACCCATGGGGAACATATAACGAGGCCTACCCAGAGGGGACTCACCGATCCCAGTAGTCTGAAATTGAGTTCCTGCAAGCCTCACCACTGTGGACAAAAGTGCTGTGGAGCCCTAAATAAATTTGAAAGAATATCTAGGACAAAAGGAAGGCAAATCTTAGGTAAGGCCTAGTGCTTAACTGGACCTGAGACAGTGGAATGGTGGGGCACGTGACCTATTGAGACACCAGCCACGGTAGGCAAGTGAATGCTGGCAGCACCCATCTCCTAAACCCAGGATCCACAGCTCATGGTTCCAAAAGAGAACTCTTCTCTAGGTGTGAAGAGATAAGAAGGAAGAATGGGGGAGTGGCAAGAGTAGGGAAGACTTTGTCTTGCATCTTGGATACCAGCCCAGCAACAGCAGGATAGGGCACCAGTCAGAGTCGTGGGGCCCCCTTTCCAGACACTAGCTATAGAATGGCATTCCTAGAAGTACGCTGGCTCAGAAGGGAAAAGAACCCAGTCCTGGAAGCATTCATAACATGCTAACCAAAGAGCCCCTTGGCCTTGAATAACCAGCAGTAAAACCAAGTTACTATGTTGAAGGCTTTGGATGAGCCTCTGAAACTTCCTGGCTTCAAATGAGATGCAGACCATTAGAGCTGTGGTGGATATGGGGCAGGACTTCTTCTACTTGAGAAAAGTGGAGGAAAAAGTAAAGAGGAATTGATCTTGCACCTTAGGTACCAGCTCAGCCACAGGAAGGCAGAGAAAGCAGAGCATCAAGCAAGTTCTTAGGGTCCCTGATTCCAGGACTTGGCTCTTGAATGGCAGTTCTGGACCTGCCCTGGGCAAGACTTTAGCTCACTGCCCTGAAGAGTGAGTCTCAGGCCAGGTAGCATTCATCACAAGCTGACTAAATAGATCTTAGGCCTTAAAGGATCATCCGCGGTAGTCTGACAGTACTCCTTGTGGGTCCGTGGTGGCCGTGGCCATGGAGGGAGGCTCGTTTGACTTTAGAAAGTGGAAGGAAAAGTGGGAAGGACTACATCAGGTAGAACATGGGGTTCTAACATATTTTAATCTAGTCCATGAATCCCAAACAGGACCTCTGGACCCAACCGATGCCTGGGGAACTCACCACTCTGAAGAGAAGGAAACGGTTCTGGCTAGCCTTGCTTTTCCTTTCCATCTGCTGACTGTGGAGACTCAGGGACTTCAACAAATGTAGGCAGTAGCCAGGAAGTGGTTACAGCAGGCTAGATAATTCTTCCAGGCTTGTACAAGACCAACAAGAAGTTACCTTTACAAGTCTTCAAAAACCACAACGTTGCTGGGCTTGGGGTGCCCCTGAAGTAGATAAAGCTGAGATCACTACACACAAGTCATTTCAAATATCTAAATAGCCTTTCATGTAAAACAGGTAAAAACAAGCCCAGACTAAGAAGACTACAATAAATACCTGACTTTTCAAAGCCTGGACACAAATAAATATCAAGTATCAAGTCTATCCAGGAAAACATTAACTCACCTAATGAAGTAAATAAGCATCAGGAATCAATACTGGAGGAACAGAGATATGTGGCATTTTCAAACAAAGAATTCAAAATAGCTGTGCTTAGGAAACTCAAAAAAATTCAAAATAACACAGAGAAGAAATTGAGAATTCTAAAAGTTAAATTTACCAAAAAGATTGCAATAAGTAAAAAGAATCAAGCAGAAATTCTAGAGCTGAAAACTGCAATTGGCCTACTTAAGAATGTGTCAAAGTCTTTTAATAGCAAAATTGATGAAGCAGAAGAAAGAATTATTGAGCCTGAAAACAGGCTGTTTGAAAAAAAACAGAAGACACAGAAGAATAAAAAACAATGAAGCACATCTACAGGATCTAAAAAAATAACCTCAAAAGGGCAGGTCTAATAGTTATTGGCCTTAAAGAAGATGCAGAAAAATAGATAAGGGTAGAAAGTTCTCTTGAAGGGATAATAACTAGAACTTTCTAAACCTAGAGAAAGATATCAATATCCAAGTACAAGAATGTTATAACAGCAAGCAGGTTTAATCCAAACAATACTTCTTCAGGCATTTAATAATCAAACTCCCAAAGGTTAAGGATAAAGAAAGAATTCTAAAAGCAGTAAGAGAAAAGAAACAAATAAAATGCAATGGAGCTCCAATATGTGTGGTCACAGACTTTTCAGTGAAATCCTATAGGTTAGAATAGAGTGTCATAACATATTTAATGCTCTGAAGGAAAAACTTTTACTCTAGTATAGTATATCCAGTGAAAATATCTTTCAAACATGAAGGAGAAATAAAGACTTTTCCAGATAATAACCTGAGCGATTTCATCAACACCAGAAATGTCCTGGAAGAAATGCTAAAGAGAGTTCTTCAATCAGAAAGAAAAGGGCATTAATGAGCAAGAAGAAATAATCTGAAAGTACGAAACTCACTGGTATTAGTCAGTACACAGAAAAACACAGAATATTATAACACTGTAATCGTGGTGTGTAATCTACTCTTCTCTTAAGTAGAAAGTCTAAATGATGAACCAACCAAAAATAATAACTACAACAGCTGTTTAATGCATAAACAGTACAATAAGACATAAAGAGAAACAACAAAATTTAAAAATTAGGGGGACAAAATTAAGACAGAGAGTCTTTATTCATTTTTTTACTTGATTGTTTATGCAAATAGTATTTAAGTTGTTGTCAAATTAAAATAATGGGTTATAAGATAGTATTTGCCACCCTCATGGTAAACTCAATCCAAAAACACATATCAGAAACACAAAAAATAAAAAGCAAGAAACTAGTCATATCACCAGACAAAATCACCTTTATAAAAAGGAAGACAAAAAGAGTAGCAAGGAAGAGAAGACCACAAAACAGCCAGAAAACATATTGTTAAAATGGCAGGAGTAAGTCTTTACTTATCAATAATAACATTGAATGTAAATGTTATTATTTACATTCCAAAGTCTCCAATAGTATGGCTGAATGAATGAAAAAACAAGACCCACTGATCTGTTGCCTACAAGTAACATACCTCACCTATAAAGACACATAGACTGTAAATAAAAGGATAAAAAAAAAGACATGCCATCCCAATGGAAACCAAAATAGAGCAGGAATGGCTATACTTATATCAAACAAAATCGATTTCAAGACAAAAACCATAAGAAAAGATAAAGAAGGTCACTATATAATGGTGAAGGTACCAATTCAGCAAGAGAATATAACAATTTTAAGTATGTATGCACTCTATTCTGGATCACCCAGATATATAAAGCCAGTATTTTTAAAGCTGAAGAGAGATATAGGCCCCAATACAATAATAGCTGGAGAATTTAATACCCCACTTTCAGCATTGGACAGACCATCCAGAAAGAAAATCAATAAAGAAACATCACACTTAATTTGCACTATAGAACAAGTGAATCTAACATATATTTACAGAACATTTCACCCAATGGCTGCAGAATACACATTACTTTCCTCAGCACTTGCGTCATTTTCAAAGATAGACCATATTTTAGGTCACAAAACAGGCCTTAAAACATTAAAAAAAGAAATAATATAATACAACTTCTCTGACTATAATGGAAAAAAACTAAAAATTAATAAAATGATAAACGTTGGAAAATATATAACTACATGGAAATTAAACACTATGATCCTGAATGGACAGTGGGTCAATGAACAAACTAAAAAGGAAGTAGAAAAACTTCTTGAAATAAATGACCATGGAAACACAACAAACCAACACTAATGGGATACAGAAAACATAGTACTAAGAAGGAAGTTTGTAGCTAATGCCAACATCAAAAAAATAAGAAAAACTTCAAATAAATAACCTAAGGATGTATTTTAAAGAAATAGAAAACTAAGAGCAAGCCATACCCAAAATTAGTAGAAGAAAATAAATAATAAAGATCAGAGCTGAAATAAATGAAATTGATAAGAAAAAAATACAAAACTTCAATTAAAAAGTTGTTTTTTAAAAGAAAAATGAAATTAACAAACCTTTAGCTAGATTTAAAAAAAAAGAGAGAAGACACAAATAAATAAAATAAGAGTTGAAAAAGGAGACATTAAAAACTGATACCACAGAAATTTAAAAGATCATTAGTGGCTACTATAAGCAACTATATGCCAATAAATTGGAAAATCCAGAAGGAATGGACAAATTTGTAGACATATCCAACCTACCAATATTGAACCACAAAAAAAACCAAAACCTAAACAGACCAAAACAAATACGAAGATCAAAATAGCATTAAAAAGTCTCCAAATAAATAAAAACCTGAGGCCTGAGGGCTTTATTGCTGAATTCTAACAATCATTTAAAGAAGAGCTAATACCAATTCTATTCAAACTATTCTAAAAAATAGAGGAGAAAAGAATACATCCAAATTCATTATACAAGGTCAGTATTACCCTGATACCAAAACCAGACAAAGACACATCAAAAAAAGGAAATCAAAGAAAACTACAAGCCAATATTTCTTATTAATATTGATGCAAAAATCCACAACAAAATACTAGCAAACTAAATTCAACAATACATTAGAAAAATTTTTCATCATAACCAAGTAGAATCACTTTATCCCAGGGATGTGAGGATGGTTTAACATTTGCAAATCAATGTGATACATAATGTCAATAGAATAAAGGATAAAAACCATGTGATTATTTCAATGGATGCTGAAAAAGCATTCAATAAAATTCAACATTCCTTCATAATTAAAAGAAACTAAAAAGAACTGGATTTAGAAAAAAAATTCCTCAATAAAATAAAAGACATATATGACAGACCCACAGCTAGTATCATACTGAATGAAAAAAACTGAAAACCTTTCCTCTAAGATCTGGAACACGACAAGGATGCCCACTTACACCACT
The DNA here is from genome assembly GCF_000001405.40 of Homo sapiens. Classification (NCBI taxonomy): domain Eukaryota; kingdom Metazoa; phylum Chordata; class Mammalia; order Primates; family Hominidae; genus Homo; species Homo sapiens. The sequence goes on from NC_000005.10 coordinate 24,159,390, forward strand.
GTTATTGAACATAGCTCTGGAAATCCTACCTAGAGCAACTAGACATAAGAAAGAAATAATGGGCATCCAAATAATAAGGAAATAAATCAAATTAGCCTTGTTTTCAGATGATGTGATATTATATTTGGAGAAACCTAAAAACTCAACAAAAAACTATTGAACTTATAACCAAATTCAGTAAAGTTGCAGAATACACAATCGATATACAAAAATCAGTGGCATTACTGTATGTCAACAGTGAACAATCTGAAAAAAATAGATTAAAAAAATCTCATTTACAATAGTCACACATAAAATTAAAAGCATTGGAATTAATGTAACCAAAGAAGTGAAAGATCTCTAAAATGAAAACTATAAAGTCCTGATGAAAAAAATGCATAGGACACCAAAAAATGAAACATATTCAATCTTTACATATTGGAAGAATCAATATAGTTAAAATGTTCATACTACCCAAAGCAATTTACAAATTCAGTGCAATCCCTATCAAAATACCAATGACATTGTTCACAGAAATAGAAAAGAAAAACAATCCTAAAATATATGTAGAAAAACAAAAGTCTGAGAATAGCCAAAACTATCCTAGGAAAATAACAAAACTGAAGTAATCACATTACCTGACTTTAAACTATACTACAGAGCTAAAGTAACCAAAATAGCAAAGTACTGGCACTAAAACTGACACATAGACCAATGGAACAGAATAGAGAACCCAGAAACAAATCCATACACCCACCGTGAGCTCATTTTCAACAAAAGTGCCAAGAACATATATTCAGGAAAAGACAGTCTCGTCAATAAATGGTGCTGGAAAAATTGGACATCCATATGCAGACTAATGAAACTAGACCCCTATCTCCACCATATACAAAAATCAAGTCAAGTGGATTAAAGACTTAAATCTAAGACCTCAAACTATGCAAGTGTTACAAGACAACACTGGGGAAACTCTCTAGGACATTGGTCTTGGAAAAAAATTTTGAGTACTACCTCACTAGGACATGCAACCAAAGTGGAAAAAAAAAATAACTGGTAAATGGGATTACGTCAAGTTAAAAAGCTTCTACACAGCGCAGGAAACAATGAACAAAATGAAGACACAACCTACAGAATTGGAGAAAATATTTGCAAACTACTCACCTGACAAAGGATTAATAACCAGAATATATAGGGAGCTCAAACAACTTCATAGGAAAAAATCTAATAATCCAACTTAAAAATGATCAAAAGATTTGAATAGACATTTCTAAAAAGAAGACATACAAATGGTGAACAGGGATATGAAAAGGTGCTCAACATCATCGGACATCAGAAAAATGCACATTAAAACTACAATGAGATATCATCTCACCCCAGTTAAAATGGCTTGTATCCAAAAGACAGGCAATAATAAATGATGACAAGGATATGGAGAAAAGGAAACCCTTGCACATTGTTGGTGGGAATGTAAATTAGTACAACCACTATGGAGAACAGATTGGAGGTTTCTCAAAAAATTAAAAATTGAACTCTCATATGATCCAGCAATCCCACTGCTGAGTATACACCATAAGGAAACGAAATTCGTAACGGAGCTATCTGCTCTCCCATGCTGCAGCACTGTTTACAATAGCCAAAATTTGAAGCAACCTAAATGTCCATCAACAGGTGAATGGATAAAGAAAATGTGGTACTTATATACAATGGTGTACTGTTCAGCCGTAAAAAAGAATGATATTGTGTTATTTGTAACAAAGCGGATGAAACTAGAGGTCATTATGCTAAGGGTAATAAGTGAGGCACAGAAAAGACAAACATCTCATGTTCTCACTTATTTGTGGCATCTGAAAATTGAAACAAATGAACTCAGGAAGCTAGAGAGTAGAAGGATAGTTACCAGAGGCTGAGAAGGGTAGTGAGATGGAAGGTGCAGGAGGCTGGGACAGTTATGAGTTAAAAAAATTATAAAGAATAAATAAGACCTAGTATTTGATAGTAAAACAGGGTCTATAGTTAATAATTTAATTGTACATTTTAAATATCTAAAAGAGTATATAATTTGATTGTTTGTAACACAAAGGATAAGTGCTTGAGGGGATGGAGACCCCATTTTACATGATGTGATTATCACTCACTGCACACCAGTATCAAAACATCTCATGTACCCCATAAATATATACACCTATTATGTACCCACAAAAATTACAAATTTTTAAAAATTAATGGACAAGGTTGGTACATAGTCGCTGTATGTTTGGATATTTACCACCTAGAGAAAGCATGAAATCATATATAGTAAAATGTAGAAGAATACACTGAGTCACTCCCTACTAGCTCTTAATGATCTCAGTCAAAGTGCCATCCCACATGAGTGACTCTGAGCATGGGAATTTTTTTATGATGGGGAATTTTTCAATTTGTCTATAAGAGCCAAGGTGTCTAATACTCACATTCTTTTTGTGTGTGTGATAAATTGAAATGGTAGTACCAATTCTGGCCTGCTACTCTGACTTCGGGCCTTGTCTTATGACCTGCTTTGTTCATGAGATATTAGTAAACATAACATAACCCAAAATTTGAAAAAAAAAAAAAAAAAAAAACAGAAGCTCTTGCACTGTTGGTCTTTCCTAAATGTTGTGCCTTTGCTATTGCTGTTCACGCTAGTCTGCTGAAGGATAAGAGGCAGCTAGAATAAAGGTGAGCTGTCTAGGTTGTCCTAGCCACAGGTAGTCTTACTGGATCAACAGCCATCCTACCCACAGCCAAATTAAGTAGGCTCCCTCAACAACCATCCCAGATGCCTGAATAATAAACAGTTTTATTGTATGCCACTGAATTGTTGTGGCTGTTGTTAGAAAGCAATGGAAAATCAATATGTATGTGTTGGAACTGGTCAGCTGTAGCCAGTAAGAGCATGGGAGGTAATATCTGTAATATCTAAATGTCTAACTGGGCAGCATGTATGGACTAGCCACTGTATACTATTTGGTTGGAGTTTATGAACTAGTCAGTTTGACAGGTCTTTTTTTCCTTCTTTTATTTTTTCCTGAAATCTCAAAGTAATTTAAAACAGTGAGAGTCTTCTGAGTTATAATTGTCTGCTTTGTTCAGGATGTCTGAAGGTAGCTTTGGATGACTTATCTAATCATCTTGTTGAAGCTTGTCTGTGTACATCTTCATCTGGCCAGTTTTTAATAAAGCAGTACACTCATACTGGTCAGCCTACTAAGATTGCTAAATTAATCTGGAGCAGTCAGTGGGTCTGAGATGGCAGTGTTTTTGGACTTATGTTACACAGAAGAATCAGTGTTTTGTGGGGGCATCAGTTTGTCCTGGAAAATCAACATGGAAAAAAATCAATCTTTCCAAGGTGACAGGGTTGTGAGCCATTTCTATATATTTCCCCCAAATCTTGGTTCATTCATTCAATTAATATTTAATAAACACCTTCTATGTAGTAAAAATTGTACCTAGAACAGGAGACAGCAATGAATAAGACAGCTATAATATCAAGCTTATATTCTTATGAAAGATATTTTGATTCTCTGAGAATTGCGACCCTCGAGTGAGCAGAAATGAGGTTGCAGATGTTGTTACAATCACATTAGTGTTCTTCAAGATTAGAGGTGGCCCCCTTGAAGGTCCTCATGATAGGGAACCCACCCGTGCCCTTCATCTCTACATGCAGTTCTTACCTCTGCATCCAAGATGCCCCAAAGGTGGATGTACAAAGTAGGACTAACCGCTGAAGAAATCTGCCTTGTCTTTGAGCTAAGCCACTCAAAATCTGTGTATTTATGCTTGTGTCATCTGTCCCCCATGACTCACAATGAACTTAGATCCTCACTTGAGAGATTGTAGAATGCTGTCACTCCAGTTTTCTCTTGCCAATTCCCTTTGTCTAATGAGGGCTGGATGATGTTGCATATTTCCTGTTGCATATTTGTTAGTCATTAACAATTTGGCTGTCGGTTTTCAGATTGACTGAGCTATGTCACTTAAGGTTAAAATGATGATGTGAAAATCATTTGAAGAGTGTCTAAGCAATCATGCCCATCTCAGGTTTGTGACAGGGTTCTAACAAATGCATGCATTTAAGGTATAAACTGTCTTGAATTCAGTGAGGATGTTTAAGTGATACATGGATTAGTAGACATGGAGATAAATACACAGGTAAAAATATAAATTCTTAATAAGGTTATTTTATAGTGTTATCCAAATTTCTGCTTGTCATTATCTCTCTATTCATAATATTTTTAAATTTTATCTAGGTGTCATTTTTAAGTAATTGTTGGATGTTTTCTGGAGTCATTTTGTGAAAAACCTACTCATCTGAACCTAAGGACAAATGAAACATTAGTTGAACACAGCTATTACCTGAATCTCAATGAAGCATCGCTAAAGTGATAAAGAAAAGTAGATACACCAACTGGAAAGTAGATGCATAGTTATAACTTCTTCCTATAAAAATCATACTTTGCCAGAATAACTTTTTTACAGTTACAAGCAACAAGAAAAGCAAAAAGCAAAAGGCAAATTTGTTTACCTTTTTTCAAAATATTTTATTTTAAATCTATTAAAATATAAAATTCACGGCGCTATGCTACATGTATGTGTATATATATATTTTTTGAGACAGAGTCTCGCTCTATTGCCCAGGCTGGAGTGCAGTGGCATGATCTTGGCCCACTGCAACCTCCGCCTCCTGGGTGTAAGCTGTTCTCCTGCCTCAACATTCTGAGTAGCTGGAACTACAGGCACCCACCACCATGCCTGGCTAATTCTTGTATTTTTAGTAGAGACGGGGTTTCGCCATAGTGGCCAGGCTGGTCTCAAACTGCTGACCTTGTGATTCACCTGCCTTGGCCTCCCAAAGTGCTGGGATTACAGGTGTGAGCCACCGTGTTCAGTCTAATAAATATATTTAAGAGTAACATTTTATATCCTCATTTCAGACAGTAAAAAATTGCAGATTTTTTCCTTTCATTTAATTGATGAAAATTGTGCATATTTATCATGTACAGCATGTTTGTAAAAGTATGTACATTGTGGAATGGCTAAATTGAGCTAATTAACATATGCATTACCTCACATATGTATCATTTATTTGTGATGAGAACACTTCAAATCTGCTCTCTTGGTAATTTACGAGTTCAATTCATTGTTATTAACTATAGTCGCCATATTGTTAAATAGATCTCTTTAACTTATTTTTTCTATCTAACTGAAATTTTGTTTTATTTGATCAAGATCTCGCAAGCCCATCCCTGTCCCCCAACTTTGGTAACTACCATTCTGTTCTATACTTCTATGAGTTCAACTTTTTAGATTCCACACATAAATAAGACCATGAAGCAGATGTGTTTTCTGGATTAAAAACAAACAAACAAACAAACAAAAACAAACAAACAAAAACTTTTGCTTGTATTTATTTCTTGCTTTTGATAAAATTATCAACCAAAATTAAATATATGTCCTAAAGAAAGATGCATGACTGAAGATAAGGAACCAGGTTTTCTTGGGTTGCTTATAATACATCTAAGAAAACATAGTTCACCCCCTTTTCTTTTGTTTAAGTGAGATGCTATGTGCCAAAAATATCTATAATTTTACCCTCTTAGGAAAAGTTCAGCTATACTTTATGCATTTTTCCTCATTTAACAAATGCCAAACAACATGATGTTGAAATCTTTCTCAGTAAGAAATTACAGCTGGCATAAGTATAGACTATATATGTCTTGGTATTTGAATTTTGTTCACTTTATGTTATCTTCTTTCTATTTTTTAGGTTTCAATTCTATAAATGCCTGGTAATTCCACGTGTGAAATGCACAAAAAATATGTATCTTGTGTCTGTTCATATATCCTGTGATAACCTGAAGTCTTTATTCTCTCTTATTAAAAATGTTAGTATAAATATAATTGTAATTAGAAACCATTTTACTCACTAAATTATACTTCTATGCAAAAGATTGCCATATATGTACTTTTCCTAATTTCTATTGACCTAAGGAATTAAATAATAATTGAGATATGATTTACATTTCTTGATGTGATTTTGGTAAAGGCTGTATTTTAGAGTCATAGTCTTTCCACAAAGCCAGGATTTGGTCTTGCTTCCTGCATCTGTCTGGTGTCTTTTCATTGTAAGCAGCAGAATACCAACATAACTAGCTGGAGGAGCTGAAAGAATAATGGTATTTTCTGGGCCTATTTAGTGTGCGTTGTTGGATGAATAGAGTCATTCTCAGATTGCCAATAAATATTTTGAAACAGGAATAACCAAGATAGAAATATTAAAAAGAATTGCTGCATATGATCATTGTGCAGTGCACGTCACTGTTAAACTCACCCCTCTTTAAATTCTATTTCCATTTCATTCATAATATTATATTTTGTCAGTATTCCTTCTAACTTTTTTGCCATCTTAATTGACCTCATTTGTCCCCTTTACTCTGCTTTTGGTTCGTTTCTCCTTTCAATCTAATGTACTTGTAGAGTAATGTAATTTGTGTCCCACCTATATAGTGATAACCATTCATAAATGTTTAGATCCTTGAGAGAAGAAAATATTTTCTGGTATCAAAACTGAATTATATTAATTGCTCAATAACATTTGTTAAGTTGAACTAAGGGAATTTGAAATATAACTTGCAAACTTTTTTCTCTTCTTCAGACTCATACATTGAACTTTGTTGCATGCATATCTATAAATGCTTAACAGACATTTCACTCTCATTTATCCCAAAACATCTATCCCATTTTTCAATTCACACTCCAAACCCATTACGCTTGCATTTCCTCTCAGTTAAATTTAATGTCATCTACACAACCATCCTTCATCTCTTACTTACTTTATGCACCCGATCAAGTATCGATTCATGGAAATTCTCATTTCTGTATCTCAAATCCATCCCCCTTTCCACTCACTTCTACATCTGTCATAAGCCGGACCCTGGCAGAATTCACATGCAATTATCTCTAAATGGTCTCCCAGCCTCTAGTTCTAAATCATCTCAAAATTCTGCAGTAGAAGATTTTCAGACCTTTAGCAAATACCTTACTGTTTTATGCCTACTTAAATTTTTTTAATGGCTCACTGAAATAATTAGAGTAAGTGGAAAATGGTTTTATACAGTTCTCCATGATCTGTTTAGCAAAACACTGTGTTGCCCTGGGGTCAAATTGCCTGGGTTCTTAATCCATCCTCTATGTCATTAGCTTTGTGAAGTTATGTAAGTTATTTGACTATTCTGAGCCTTGATTTCCCCATCTGTAAAATTGATATGACAATAGAACCATCCCACAGAGTTGTTTTCAGGATTAATGAATGATCCATGTAAAGTGCTTAGAAGAATATGAATCACAATAAATCACTGAATAAGTGTTAGCTCTTCTAATTTTCCCTTTTTGATTAGGTAAACTTTTTGGCCTTTTTTTTTACTCATCCTTAAAAGCTCAAGTATTTGAAGAATCACTTTGACAAAGACTGAAATAATTTATATTTATCTGTTATAATGTATGTAACATTATATAAAAACAATCTCTTTAAGCATCTGTCTTCCCCATTGGAGAAGCAAGAAATATGTCCACCTAATCTCTATGTCTCTCACACCCAGAATAGTGCCTAGTAAATTGTAGCTTTCCATTTAATGCCTCCTGAACAGAACTAAAACGATTCTATATTTCTCAGCCCTCAACAGCTTGAAAATAAAAATAGACCGTTATAAGTGTCGCAAGCATTTTGAAGTTCTGTGCTCACTTACTCTTCAAAAGTTTTGGCCTCTTTCAAATCATTTTGAAATAGAGGATATTACCGTTTGCTCTGAAAATTGTTCATTATAGATACTTTATGGCATGTCTACTTTCCTCCATCCATCTGTACTATTATCTGGTGACATTTTCAGTCACCACAGTTACCCCTACAGCAGCTATGGTGCTGAAACCAGTATTGCTGCAGATAAATTATGGAATCCACATTGAGATTTTTTAATGTTTAATAGGGAGAGTACTAATCTTTTTCCCCCAAAAGTGGTAGTAGTTGATCTGCTTGCTTTTTCAAGGAAATAACACTGATAAGAGCTGACTGATATTTGTGCTTCCTTGACATACGGCTGTAATTAGCTGTTCACTGATATCAACAGAGCTGATGTATGTATCAAAATACTTATGTCCCATTTCTATTCAAGCCATTGCCAATGCTACTGGTGATACTTTGAACTCATGATGCCACAGAAATGCTAAGAAATTTTCTTTCACTGCTGTGTGTTTTTGTGTGTGTCTAATTGCAACTTGCGTGCCATTTAACCACATTATGAATTATTGGGGATGGAGCAGAAAGTAAAAGAGTGACACAAAGCAATGATGTGAAAATATTTATACCTTCTCCTAATATCTGGCCTTTGTTCTTTGAAAGAAACTGGAATATTTTACCATAAGTCTTCATAGTCTTTGTGCAAACACAGTATTTTTGGATCAACTCTCCTTTCACTCAGGTGCCTATTGTGTCTCAGGAAAATTAAGACTTTTTCTCAGAGGAGAGGCATTAATAAATAACAGATCATGGGTAAGCAAAGCTTGGATACAAAGCTCAATAATTAGCTACAAGTGGAATAATAGGAAATGAGTCATGTGCTTATTGTACAAATTCTAAGCACATACCATAGTCTTTAGCAGTTTGTGAAACACAAGAAAAGCAGAAAACAGTATCTATAATGAATCATCTTATAACATGTTTGGGAAAAAAAGTATAAGGTATGTATTTCATAATTTAACATTGCTTATCATAAGTAATAAACTAGTGATGGAGGCAGTCAGTGGTACAGAGTTTGTGAAGGAGAACCTTTCTGAAGAGCATATAAAAGTGATAGAAGGTTGTGTCATATGTTGCGTTCATAAATCCAGGAAAAAGAAAAACATAGTGAGGTTATATTGGGCCTATTAATTAATGCTATTTTATTTTGAGCAGTGAAATACATTGTCAAAGTAGAATCCCAATTATTATCAATCAGAAACACCCATATTTGGACTGAAGGGAGAAAAATTATCTGTATTTTCAAATAAATATGCATATTTCTGGTTAACAATCATATCACCCTAAATATTGGAAGAAAAAGGTCAGAATAAGTTAAAATGCCAAAATTGTTTTTGGTATAACAATTTTCACACATATTCACATATATTTTAACAGGAAGTGTTTTTAATTCATTCTAACCCTATGAGATTTTCATTTGCAAATAAATTTGAGTCCTTTCAGCCTTGACTTAAATTGTGTATATAATAGCTCTCTGCAACGTAGAATAAAAGGCTTTTAAAAGGTTTAGAACATTTTGAGATAGAAAACAGTTCATGCAAAACATTGCGATGAGATAAATATAAAGAATGCGAAACCATATGGATTAATTTTCCTTTTAAATACAAATAGAATATGACACTATGAGAAAAGTCACTTGGAAGAAGAGAAGTGGATCACAGAGTATGAAAAAGTTTTTTGAAATATTGTTTATATATTACTTTTAATAACATAACTGAAATAAACTTACTTTAACATGTATTTTGTTTTAATGTATATTCATCACAATAAAATGATCATTTCTTTTTATGACATAAATCATGTTTCTTAAATAGTTTCAATTTATTCTGCACACTTTTTATTTATTTATTTATTTTTAATTTAATTTTATTTATTTATCTTTTTTTGAAGCGGAGTCTCGCTCTGTCACCCAGGCTGGAGTGCAGTGAGGTGATCTTGGCTCACTGCAAGCTCCGCCTCCCCAGTTCACTCCATTCTCCTGTCTCAGCCTCCTGAGTAGCTGGGACTACAGACACCCGCCACCACGCCCGGCTAATTTTTTGTATTTTTAGTAGAGAAGGGGTTTCACCGTGTTAGCCAGGATGGTCTCGATCTTCTGACCTCGTGATCCGCCCGCCTCAGCCTCCCAAAGTGCTGGGATTACAGGCGTAAGCCAACTTGCCCGGCCCAAACTTTTAAATATTGTCTACAGTTGGCATAATCCTCAGACCACAAGCTTTGCTCGTGTTCTCTCTATGTAAATAGAGAAGAAAAAGTGAAAATAAAATAGCTTGAACACATACAGGATTCAACATGCTAAGATGGTTCCTTGGTAATAAAGACATAGGCAAAGATCCTCCCACCTTGCTCTGCTGAATGATACTTTTGTTTTTAATACTTCCCCATCACTTCTTTAAAATATGTCTGATATGGTTTGGATCTGTGTCCTCACCCGCATCGCAGTTGTTATTCTCAATGTTGGAAGTGGGGCCTGGTGGGAGGAGATTGGATTATGCGGGCAGTTTCTCAGGAATGCTTTAGCACCATCTTCCTTGGTACTGTCGTTGTGATAGTGAGTTCTCATGAGATCTGGTTGTTTAAAAGTGTATCTCACCTCTCTGTCTTGCTCCTGCTCCCATCATGTGAGATGCCTCATTCCTTCTTTGCCTGACGCTATGACTGGAAGCTTCCTGAGGCTTCCCCAGAAGCAGAAGCTGCTATACTTCCTGTACAGTCTACAGAAGCATGAGCCAATTAAAGCTCTTTTCTTTATAAACTACCAGGTCTCAGGTATTTCTTTATAGCAATGCGAGAACAAGGGACTAATACAATGTCCCTTCCCACCAATATTAAATATACTCAAGTTTCTTTGATATTAGAGAAGAGGGATCCTCCACAAATCAGATGTACTACTCAGCTGTATGCAAACCGCTTTACCTATCTTCCCTCTTCCCCATCCCCCACAAACAAATATCCTTAAAAGATGTACAAAACTCGAGGGGGCGGAGCCCGCTGCCGAGGGCAGGGCAGGGTGGGGCGGGGCGGGGATCAAGCAGGGGCAGGGCTGGCGCTGCGGCCGGAGATGCTGTTGGGCCGCGACAGCGCTTGGCAGCCAGGAGCTCTGCACTGAAGGCACTGGGGTAAAGTGAATGCCGAAGACAGAAGATTTGGATGATACACCACTGAATTTCTTTGTTTGGAGTACACGTTATGAACCCTTTCTGGAGCATGTCTACAAGCTCTGTACACAAACGATCTGAAGGTGAAGAGAAGACATTAACAGGGGACGTGAAAACCAGTCCTCCACGAACTGCACCAAAGAAACAGCTGCCTTCTATTCCCAAAAATGCTTTGCCCATAACTAAGCCTACATCTCCTGCCCCAGCAGCACAGTCAACAAATGGCACGCATGCGTCCTATGGACCCTTCTACCTGGAATACTCTCTTCTTGCAGAATTTACCTTGGTTGTGAAGCAGAAGCTACCAGGCGTCTATGTGCAGCCATCTTATCGCTCTGCATTAATGTGGTTTGGAGTAATATTCATACAGCATGGACTTTACCAAGATGGCGTATTTAAGTTTACAGTTTACATCCCTGATAACTATCCAGATGGTGACTGTCCACGCTTGGTGTTCGATATTCCTGTCTTTCACCCGCTAGTTGATCCCACCTCAGGTGAGCTGGACGTGAAGAGAGCATTTGCAAAATGGAGGCGGAACCATAATCATATTTGGTAGGTATTAATGTATGCAAGGAGAGTTTTCTACAAGATTGATACAGCAAGCCCCCTGAACCCAGAGGCTGCAGTACTGTATGAAAAAGATATTCAGCTTTTTAAAAGTAAAGTTGTTGACAGTGTTAAGGTGTGCACTGCTCGTTTGACCAACCTAAAATAGAAGACCTCTATGCAATTAGCTTTTCTCCATGGAATCCTTCTGTACATGATGAAGCCAGAGTAAAAATGCTGACTCAGAAAAAGAAGCCTGAAGAACAACACAATAAAAGTGTTCATGTTGCTGGCCTGTCATGGGTAAAGTCTGGCTCAGTATAGCCTTTCAGTAAAGAAGAGAAAACAGTGGCGACTTAAGAGATGGTGAATCTGGTGCACTATGCACTTTCCTGCTGGACTCTGGCCTAGTTCAAGCTGACCAATGGCAGAGGACTGCCTTAAGAGTAAAACTGTGTGAACAATGACTGACTGCCAGTGTTTTCCATGTATGCATAGGTTCTAACAGCAGGGTTTGGAAACCTGTCTCTAAGTAATGCATTACTTCGGTCAGAAGTGTCTTAGGGTGGTTATCTAGTTCAGTACTCCAAGTTATTGGGGACCTTGAGGCTTAAGTATTTTTCTGAATATAATGCTAAAGGTAAGTTGCATTCATTTAAACTAATAGAGCAGACAGAATTCAGCACTACTTAATAGTTTATAAATCAGTGGTTTCAGTTGTATATATGTTAGGAAATGGAGAGGTATAGAGAGAGCAGGTCCATAGCTCAGCACTTTTAAGTGGAAGATCATTTGAATCTCAGTCTTCAGCCTGCAATGATTTGTAGCCCGCACTGTCTTACTGATTTACAAACTGAAATCACTGAGAAATGTCTTTAGTTGAGTGAGAAGAAACCAGAACACTTGTTCCTAGTGTTGTATTGTTTTTTTAAGCAAATTACTTACTGTATTTTTATGGCAGGAGGGAGAAAAAGTGTTACAACGGTTTCTAATGAAGTCCGGTATTTAAATGATAAATGACTAATGTGTTTAGTAGAGACAAAATAAACCAATAAATGATTGTTCTTTGCCATTTATGCAGGAAACTACCCTTTTCTCAACATAAACAAACAAAGGCTAATTTAGAAATGCTTTATTGAAAAATACACTTATCTTCATATAAAATTACAGTAGCAGTATCTTGAGAGGTTTTGTAAGTATTTTTGCAGAACACTATTCTAATTGAACAGTATAAGTTCCATATTTCTCTCAGAGCAATATGAAATTACCTAGTAACTTTGTTTATACTGATTCAATTTACAATTGAATTTTCTCCCTAATAAGATTATTAATTTGACTTGAAAACTGCTGGAACAATAGTGATTAATAAAGATATGTATAGATAATTCAAAAAAAAAAAACTCGTCACCTACACTTTCTTCTTATTCCACTGCAGTCTCACTTCTGCCCCACAATCTTCTCCTAAATTTAAGTTTACACAGATTTTCAATGACAAGTCCCTTACTGGATACTCTAATTCTGAAGATACTTTCATCAGCATCCCCTACGTAATGATATTCCTTAGGTTTTGGTTCTAAACTCTCTTCTGTACTCTGCTGTATTCTCCACCATAATCTCATCCACTTTCACATCTTCAAAAATCATCTGTGTAATATGACTTATAAATCAGTGCTTTCTGAGTAGAATTTGTTCTTGAGATTTTCCCATATCCAACTCATAATTAACATATACATTTTAGCTATCGTCAGGTGCATCTTGAAATAAAACTTATTAAAACTAAATTTTGATTTCCCCATCCAGACAAGTAAGCATTGGATGCATATATTATTTATAACATTTTGTAACCCAATACCTAGCATTGAATCTGATACATAACTTTAACTTAAAAGCTATTTGTTATAAACCTTTATTTTCCTTCACAATCTAACATTTTATCAAATACCTGTACTTGAAGCTATGTAGTAACCTAAAGCCTTACCTTCAGTTTTAACTTACTATAGCCAATTGTAGAAAGTATACTCTGAATGATTTTGAATAAAATTTGAAGACATTTGGTCAATATGTGTTTGTTAGTTGTTGCTTTAAAGAAGTCTACAGAATATAATCGAATCTATAGTCATAAACATTAATGGAAATATAGTGTAAAGCAAATATTTCATTGTTCATGTACATTACTTCATTGATTTTGCTTTCAAGAGAAATGTTTTAATTCAAAACATTTATATATATGAAATATATAATAACTATTTTATTCTGCCATTGTTCAATATAAAATCCTGGATTGTAGACTAATTTTAAAATTTTATTATTAAGGTTTAAATTATATATAAAGCATGGTATCCCTCTGATACATACAGTTGGCTAAAATTTGTCATAGTAGACTTTTCTAATGGTACCAAAATATGGTAGCTAGCATAGGGGATCTCACCTTAGCATTTTGTCAAGTCATTTAAAATGTATGGTGATACAATTATAACAAATAATAAGCCAAGTCTACTAATCCCATAGTCTTACAAAGACAAATGAATGCAACATTTTAAACTAAAATTATCATATCAGTAATATTTGAACCTGTGCTTCCTCTGGCTTTAAACAGCAGTTTTACTTAGCATTTGTTTAGTTGTGTTTAGACAAATTTTGAGAAAATACTTGTATTTCTATGTTAACATACAAGTTGATAAAGTATACATTATATCAAGTGGATTAAAACAGACTTTCTATGAAAATATTATGATACATTTTTCTATATTTTCATTATATTTGACAGTTATCATCAGCAAAATATTTTGACTGAATTTAAGAACAAGTTCCATTTAAAAGTTTTGAGATAATTGAGACAACTCTTTGATGTCTGATTTTCTATCTTTCCACAAAGCTAGTATTCATGATTACATATATATATGTTGATAATAGATTAGGTTTTCTTATATAACTTCTTATAGGATAGTTGTACAATGTATGCACTCTAAGCTTTTTTCAGTGACTTGTATACAGCAGTTTCTTTTGAAGCCACTAGTAATAGCTTCCTTTTTTGCCTTGAATTCTGACAGTATTTAATATTAATAATTTTCAAGCAATTTAGTGGTTAACTAATTCAGAAAATTATTTTAAATATCTTTTTTTCAAAACAAATCTATTGTAAGCTTAGTTATATTTTAATTTGGACTATTTATTATGCTATACTTTTTGAATTAGATAACTAAAATGTTGGGCACCTGTTTGGTTGGACACTTTGCTTAAACAAAGGTGGAAGTGAATATGAAAGAATTAGAAAAGTGGGTCTAGATATAGCTATGAATTTTTTTATCCACAAATATTTGTAAATATGTTAGTAGGTAATTTGATTTGTTATTACTATACATTTCTTGTTTTTGAAACAGGATCTCTCTCTGTTACCCAGACTGAAGTGCAGTGGCATGAACACAGCTCACTGCAACCTCAACCTTTTGGGCTCAAGTGATTCTGCTGCCTCAGCCTCCCAAATAGCTGAGACCACAGACGTACATCACCACATCATCATACTCTGCTAACTTTTATTTATTTATTTTGTAGAGATGGTTCTCACTCTGTTGCCCAGGCTAGTTTTCAAACACCTGGGCTCAAGCAATTCTCCTGCCTTGGCCTCCTTTCAAAGTGTTGGGATTGCAGGCTTGAGCCACCACACCCAGCCATATACATTTCAATGAGAAATTAACTCTACATTTTGTTCCAATGCCTATTTAAGTAATCAATCTGCATTTTCAAAAGGAAGAGCAAACACGCAAATAAACACAAAGAAAGCAAACTATAACATAATTAATGAAAAAATATCTCCACCAAACATCTTTTCAGTATATCCACAAACATTATTCTGTCCCTCATAACACAAACACACAGAAATGCTAGATTACAACACAAATAATGATCAATTCAGGAGAAAAATAAAAGAAATTATTGCCTTAGAGAAATAAATATAATTCAATTATAAAGAAAGTGTACTGTTTAGTAATTGATTTAAATTTGATCAGAAGTTGCTTAGCACATAGAAGTTATGTGAGAATGTTGAACAACTGTCCAAAAGCTCCATAGCTCCATTCAAATTTCAAATTTTCCTTATTTTATTAACTTCGGTTTTTGAGAAAATGATTTTATATTTTAATATTTTACACCTACTTTTCTCTCTCTCTCTCTCTCTCTCTCTCCCTTTCTCTTAAAAGATACACACATATATATGTGTACATGAAAGGAACAAATATATATATATATATATATATATATATATATATATATATACACACACACACACATATACAGGATAAGGTAGGTTTGCTATTGTATAATTAGATTTGTTAAAGGGAGTAATCTATATATCCAATTGATAGATACATAAAACACTTATTAGATTCTGCAACCAACCAAGTTGATACTCTGTCATCACTACTGTTAAGAAAATCTATGTAAACATAGTAACACATATCTTAAAATAGGATCTTTACCAAAATCATTTCATAAAATTATAGAAGATATTGGCAGCTTCAAATAGATAACCTAGTTACCTAGATGCTGTTTTAAGTTTCCAAACCTGAAAGCTTGGGGATGTTAAGAAATGCAAAAGTCATCTTTGTAACTAGCTAGACATAAACACAAATACATCATATGGGAAAGTATATTTGTGTCCTTGTTATATTTAATGGTATTTGAATATTATATCATTATCAATTTCTCACAAATGTTTTAAAATATTTTCTAAAGACATATTTTTGAACTCTTTTTCCTTGTATCCCAACTTCACAATCTCTACCTCAGTCTTAAGATATATATAAATATTTATTGTTAAAAAGTATAGGTTGAGGCCAGGTGTGGTGGCTTGCGCCTGTAATCCCAGCACTTTTGGGAGGCAGAGGCGGGTGGATCACTTGAGGTCAGGAGTTCAAGACCAACCTGGCCAACATGGCAAAACCCCATCTCTATTAAAAATACAAAAATTAGCGGGTGTGGTGGCATGCACCTGTAATCCTAGTTACTTGGGAGACTGAGGCAGGAGAACTGCTTGAACCTGGGAGGTGGGGGTTGCAATGAGCCGAGGTTGTGCTGCTGCACTCCAGCCTGGGTAACAAAGTGAGATTTCCTCTCAAAAAAAAAAAAAATATATAGGTTGAATATATGCTCTCTTATTCTATATTTTCTATGTATATTTTAAAAACATGAGTTCCCTTCTACAAGTTCTCAAAATTAAGGTGTAATACAAAGGGATACAATTGTAACACAGAATTCTCTATAGACTTAGTATTTTTTAAATGCTGTCCTTACTCACTAAGGCAAATTTGCCATTTCATTTGCATGTATAACATTATCTCTAGATGACCCTTTAAAAGATGTGGTAAATTATATTTTTGTGGAAACTTTTAAAATTATACTCTAAAAAATAAACTCCCAAATTAAATGATCTCTTTAAATACCTATCGGTGATTCTGATAACTTTTATTTATTAGTCAGGATTTTATATTCTCTGACCTCATTTAACAGATCCTTGCTTTCCATCAAAATTGGGATATTTTCCAGTCACTGACTTCAAAACTTTAACTTGCTTAGCATTTTTTCAATGATTAGTTTATCTTAATCAATAATGATCTACATCTCACTTCTTAAATAATTTGTATTATGCTTTTCAAATTTAAATTTTACTGTCTGTGTTTCCAGTATTAACTACCTGATAATCTTCTGAGTTAGAAACATGATATCTGGCTACTTTTTTCCTTAGAGAAATCTTCTGTTGAATGTCAAGAAAAAATATCTACAAAGTAAAATGTAATACAGGCTGTTAATAAGTAATCTCTATTCCCATTTCCAGTGTTTTGCAATATCTTAAAAAAATATGACCTAACTGATCACACATGTGCTCAAAATTTCTGACACACTTTGTGAATTATGAAAGATAAAAACACACATATTTTGTTTTCCTTCAGAATTTCTGACTTTCAATATAGTAAATATGTTTTAATATCTTTGAAAATTTATAAGAATAAAAGATATCATAGAGGGTAAAATGATGTACAGGTGGCCCTTAAACTCAATATCTACAATCTTATGGCTGCTTAAACTAACATGCTAAAATTTACAGAGAATATTATTTATTATGATGTAAGGTGGTTTTGCATATTCTGTAGTTAAAAAAAATGGTGAAAAGGAGAGATAAGTAAAACCTATTGCCTAGTCTTCAAAATGTAGAAGTTATTTTCACACACTGAAAAGAGAGGAAACAAATTCCAGGTATGTGAAACAGCACACATGAACCATACATTACATGTGAAAAAATGCAAAAAGGGAGACCTTATTTTAGCAGATATTCCACTCCAGGAAATAATAGAAGAAAAATTTGTCTAAGTGGAGTGGGACTAGGTTATAGAGGACAGGACTTGAGGTTCAGATGGAAAAGTTAAATGTGTTTGCAAGAAACAGAAAATTATTGAAATAAATTAATTCTGACTTTTTTATAAGGTTATCTAAATGGCAAAAAGCTGGAGTTTCCATGTATTGCAATATTCTAGGTAGTTGAGTTCTTGCTTTGGAAAAGCAGCTATAAATAGGTAGATAGAATAAATGTAAACACACACTGCAGTGCAAAAATGCATGTTCACATCTGTGTGTCTGTGAGTGTGTGTGCACATGCTTTCATAGATGTGTCACTTGGTTTCTAATTAAATAAAAGAAGTAGAAAACGGATAGGAAAGAGAGTAGTTTCCACATTTAACACCAGGTGACTGGAAGTATACTCAGGTCTAGGATAGAAATAAAGTTTTTAATGATAGTTCCTATCTTGGAAGAGAGAATTGCAAGTCAGTATAGTTTTAGACTGATTCTGAACTGACTACAATGTATTTATGAAACACTCCTTCTGTAAACATGCTTAAAATTACTTTTTTCCAAACACAATTATTAACCCTTCTTTCCTGGATTATCTGTTTTCAGCTGAGCTTCTTCCATGCTCCACTAAACCATTTCTTGCATCACAGTGGAGAGTCGAAGAATTCCATCTCTTGGAATCACTTTCAAGCAGATGTCTAGCTTGGATTCAGCCAATGGGATTCAATAAAGAGAGATTTAAAAGTCAGAAGAAAACAAGAATTCCAGTACAGCTGTAGCAAGATGCGCAGGCATTTGGCAGACATGACGTTGGCAGCAGCATCCAAGTGAGTTCCTGTGAATCACCCGCTTTGAGAATTCAAGCAACTAGTGCCATTGCAGGTGGCTTTCTCACATTCTTGAATTTTTAGATCTCTGAGGCTAGTTAACAATCTCTTTGACATATACAAATGCAACTTTACAAGGGAGAAAAAAGCATCCAATTCTCTGCATTGATTTTTTTTCCTACTCAAAATAAATTCTTAGAATGCTTTAGGTTTTGACTTTGTTGTTTTTTTTTTTATTTTAGAAAAGCCTAAGTAACACATCATCTTTTTAAAATTTTTATTTTATTGTGCTAAACACACAGTATGAGCTCCACCCTCTTAACAAATTTTAGTGTACAATACATCATTGTCAACTACAGGTACAGTGTTATAAAGTAGATCACTAGAGCTGAATCATCTTGGTAACTGAAACTTTATGTTCATTGATTAGCAACTCCCCATTTTTTTCTCCACCCAGCCTCTGGCGGCCACCATTTCACCCTTTGATTATAAGATTTTGACTATTTTCAATGTTTTCTCCAAGTAAAATCATGGAGTATTTGTCCTTCTCTGACTGGATTATTTCACTTAGCGTAATCTCCTCCAGCTTCATTTATGTTGTCACATATTGACAAATTTCCTTTTTTGTATGGCTAGCTATATTCCGTTGCATGTATATACCATATTGTCTTTATGTGCTAATCCATTTTTAATAGACATCTGGGTTGTTTCCACATCTTATCTCTTGTGAATAGTACCACAATGAATACAGAAGTGTTAATATCGCTTCAAGATTCTCATGCTATTTTTCAGATATATACCCACAAGTGGGATTGCTGGATCATATCATAGTTCTATTTTCAATTTTTTGAGCAACCTCCACAATGTTTTTTATAGTGGCTCATCATTTTGTATTCCCACCAACAGTGCATGAGAGTTCTAGTTTCTCCACATGCTGGCCAATACTTGTATTTCTCATTTTTGATAATAGCTATCCTAACAAATGTGAAGTGACATCTAATTGTGGTTTTGATGCATTTCCCTGATGACTAGTAATGTTAACATCTTCTTATATACTTCTTGGCCACTCATATGTCTTCTTTAGAGAAATATCTATTCAACTCTTTGGCCCATTTTTAAATTGTATTATTAGGGTTTTTGGTTTATCTTGTTTTGTTATGTCTTGTTTGTTTGTTTTTGCTATCGAGTTGTAGGAGTTCATTATATATTTTGGAAATTAACCCTTTATAAGGTATATGGTTTGCAAATATTTCCTCCCAATCTGTAGTTTGCCTTTTCATTCTGTTTATCCTTTGCTGTGCAGAAGCTTTTCCGTTTGGCACAGTTACACTCATCTATTGATGTTTTAGTTGCCTGCACATTTGTGCCATATTTATGAATTCAAACTTAATGAAGAAGGTGAAAGATTTGTACATTGAAACCTACAAAACATGGATGAAAATGTTAGATAAGACACAACTAAATGGAAAGACATCCCATATTCATGGATTGGAAGTCTTAATATTGTTTAAATGTCCATATTATCAAAACAATATACAGATTCAATGTAATACCTAATAAAATTCCAGTGGCATTTTCTATAGAAATAGGAAAAGCAACTCTAAAATGTATATGAAACCACAGATTGACACAAACAATAGAATAAATTTTGCAAAAGAAGAGCAAAGGTGGAGGCATCACAATATATTTGTGTTATATACATCACAGTATATTTCAAAATATGTTATAAAGCCACACTAATTAAAACAAAATTTTTACTATGTATCAGCCCTAACTGAGCTGAGACCAGGTACCAGACAACTAAGGACAACTGTGTGTCCAAGGCCTGCCAAGTTTCTTCAAATTAGCCAATCCACAAGGATCCCAGGAAACCTAGCTGTGCTTACCCTATTTGCTATACATAAACATTCCCTTATGGCTTCAGTTTGCTGTTATGCTTCATGGAGGGCACCTCTGTGTGGCCCTGCCAGGTAGCTTTT
Organism: Homo sapiens; assembly: GCF_000001405.40. NCBI lineage: Eukaryota > Metazoa > Chordata > Mammalia > Primates > Hominidae > Homo > Homo sapiens. The sequence continues at coordinate 24,180,037 of NC_000005.10, forward strand.
TTCTTTGAGGTTGTAAATAACAAAATATTCTGCCTTTTTTTTTTTTTTTGAGACAGTGTCTGTCACTGAGGCTGGAGTGCAATGGTGCAATCTCGGCACACTGCAACCACTGCCTCCTGAGTTCAAGCGATTCTCTACCTCAGCCTCCTGACTAGCTGAGATTACAGGCGCCCGCCACCATGTCTAGCTAATTTTTGTACTTTTAGTAGAGACAGGGTTTCACCGTGTTGGCCAGGCTGGTCCCGAGCTCCTGACCTCAGATGATCTACTGCCTCGGTCTCCCAAAGTTTTGGGATGACAGGCGTGAGCCACTGTGCCCGTGCTCGGCCTCTGCCTTTCTTTTATCTAAAGTGTCATTGTGTTGTAACCTTCCATCGAAAGGATCTTCAAATCTTATAAATAAAAAAAGGAGGCAACTTGATACATACCAAATGGGGACAATGAGCAGCACATGCTAAGAGAACAAAAGTTCTAGTCCCACGGATTAACATGATAGTGGAGATGAGGTGGAAATTTATGGTGACAAAATATGCAGTCTTTAAACAATACTGATTCAGAGGCAAAAGAGGACAAGATATAATTTGATTCTATATGGTATTGATTATTCAAAGGAAAAGGGAGTTTGGAATATGAAATGCAGTGGCTATCAAGTGTGTTAACAAAGAAATTCTACCCACGCATAAGGATCAAGAGACATCAAGATCTGGTTGCTGGAATGGCAATAACTGACTAGAAACTTTATCATGAATTCTCAAATTAATCTCAGACAACAGCAGTTTGTGGGATAACTGTTTTGACATACACCAATTAAAACTTTGCTGTGAAAATGACACCCTGATATTCTGAAATTCTAGATGATATATTTTTTTCAAAAAACATTCTTATCCACAGAGATTACAATCTCTCACAAAGGAATTAATCATATTATTGCACACTTAAATTTGAACCTTGATTCTTCCCCTAATTCAGGGGATCCTTTGTACGCTTTTCAAGGTTTCAAATATTTTAGTCTATAAAGGCATTAGAGTAGTGTATAAGTCGCTCCTCTCTGGTCATATATACAAAGGTCTGCTACAGAAATTAGTTTGGTGTTTTTGTTTTTAATAGACTATTTACTTGATCATCATTTTACTTAAATCTGAGCAGTAAATTAGAAGCAAATATACTTGCTACTGCTGTACCATTAATGCCTATTTTTAAACATTTTTTTCTTTCTTCTCATTTTCCCATGTTTTCCCTTAATTGTTTTACAAATATTACTATTAGTCTAATGCCTCATTCCACATCTCATTCTATAGCAACTGCTGCATGTTCTTTGCCTTCATAAAAACAATTTTTATGTAAAATTATAAATGAGCTATTGGTCTATCTTTGAGGTTTTCTCCCGCCTTTAGAACACATTTTTTAGACTGTAAATTGATTGCAATCACCAAGTTTGAAAATAGGTGTTTCTTAAAGTAGACATTTCTGATATTTAATTTTACACAGGAGGTGACTTCCAAACAGAACTGTGTTGTTTATATGTATTTCATCTGATTTAGAAATGCAGCAACTTTTCCTCTAAAAAAAAAAGAAAAGAAAAAAAAGACCCTAGATGAACAACAACAATAACAAAAATAGGACAACAGGCAACTTCATTTTGAAGGAAAAATAATACATTCACTGATGCATCAGTGATTTTTTTTTTTTTTTTTTTTGAGGCAGTGGGCTCTGAGAACTTGCCAGAACAGGTTTCTGTAAGAATTTTACTTTTACAGAATGGAGTACATACTTAAAATCTACAGACCCAGCAACATTAGCTAACTGCAGAAGTCTCTTTGCTTCCCAGTCCCGGCTCTGAGCATACTGAAGCCTCAAGAGCTGTAGAGTGATTTCTCGCTTTCCCCGTTGCATAGTAAATACCAATTTATTTTTTTAATTGGTCCAGTACTCTTGGAAGTTATGCTCTTTTCATCCATATTGTCCATATTTGACTTTGTTTGTATTATAGTCATAATAGTTATATTAAATCCCTTTTACTTTAACCCTAAGATTTGGACATTTGTCAGCGTTCTTCTACACACTCTTTTGATTACTGTCCACATCTTGCATTTTAGATGTAGCCTGAATTTTATTTCATTTTGTATAAAATAACCATTGAGAATGTCAATGATGTCAATGTCACACAAAGAGGGTTAACTGTATCAGCATTGGAGGAGCTAAACTTTTCAGTCCAATCAGTTAATAAACTATGTTTGTACTGGGTTTACAAGGTTGATGTAAACATTCCACAAGGGGAAAAAACAGAATAATAAAAGTATAAAATAATTATTTGTAGAAATCTAGAGAAATATACTTCATTATAAAAAATGAAGTGAAGAATTTCCTGGGGAACTTTATTTTAGCAGAATTGGCCCCATTCAACATAGAAAACTTAAAGCAATTTTAATAGAAACATTTAAAAAAGTTATCAATCAATTATCCCCTCCAAGAGGATCTATATAATCCTTGAATATAGAAAAATGTTTTCTAACTATATATCAAAATCTGGAGGCATTAGAAATAAATACTTATAAATTAGACAATAAGAAAGTTGTAAATAAAAAAAATAAGCAAACAAAGCTATATAATAAACTGGGGAGAAAATATTTGTGACATGTTTCACATATACATGAATAGCACATGCTATTCTTTAAAGTCTCTTGAAATTTTGAGGAAAAGATAGAAAAAATAAGTATAAAAGACAAGAATTGCGAATTCACCCCCAATAAAGTAGTTAGGTGTGTGTGTGTACATATATGTGTGTGTGAGTGTGTGTGTGTGTGCAGACATGTTCAAAAAGTTAATCATTGGCACAACATGGATGAAACTCAAAAACATTATACCAAAGTGAAAGAAGTCAGGTAGAAAAGACCACATATTTTGTTATTTTGTTTCTATCAAGCGTCCTAAAAAGACAAGTCTGTAGAGACAGAATGTAGTCATCTGCAGTTGTGAGTGGAAATGAGATCATGTGTCAATATGCATTAGGAATCTTATCAGAGTGATATAATTATGCTAAAACTATGGTTTCCCAGGTTGGTAAGTTTACTAAAAATCACTGAACTGTCACGTTAAATGAGTGATTTTATGATATGTAAATTATACCTCAATAAAGTTGTTTTTAGAGAAGTAACTCACATGTCTGACCTCCAATTTTCACAGAGTTGAGCTTAAAACAAAACAAAAAGGCAGCCTTCAAACATCATTTAGAGCAAGTAAAGAGGATCTAGAACTTTCTAGGTTGACAAATACAAATTGTGCTTATTCTCTCAGCCCTGCCTCTCACACCAATAAAGGATTTTCAATGTAAGAAAACAACTGATGGAAAATATCACATCTAAGGTATGTCCATGGGCCCTTTAGTTAAGAATTCTGAATACCCAGTGGAGTCTCTCAGTTGTACCAAAAGGGCTGCGGGACTCTTTGTAGTGTGATTTTCTAGCAGCCTGCCATGACCCGAAAGGCAGAGATGAAATCTATGGAAAGAAATATCTCAAACACAATGATGCATGTGAGTTTTGCCAACAGGCATGGAATAAATTCATGAGAATACCTACAAAGTTTTTGAGTCTGCTTGTACTGATTAAAGTGGTGCTAACTTGAACTAAAAGGGCTTGAGATACTTTACAAGTTAAAAATCATACTTGCTTCTTCTCCCATATTTCTACTGTTAAGAGATAGGCTGAAAGTTTGCTTAAAGGATACATTTCCTAACATAATTTTCACAACTGGTTAAGAAGGGTGATGGAAAAAATAACTATGACTGTCCTATAGAACATAGCCATGGCTCATTACATACAATCAAGTGGGGAAGCAAGCCCAGGTTACAGAGCAAAGGCCTAACCACAGTACACATCTTACCACTGGTGCAAAAGACCTGGCAAAAATTGCCTGGTGAGATTGAAAAGTTTCTATGAGACAATACTGCCATGTACCTCCCATTCTTCTGTGTTTCAAGCAGGAGTGTTTATTGCCATTGTTTGCCAATGTTTGTTGATTGTTGAGGCTGATACATTGTCCTTTTAGTTCACAGATTCCCCAAATCAAGAGAACTTACTTATGAAATAGATATAGATGACACATTCCTGGACTATTTCCTTGCAGTGATGAGAATATTTGGGGTTTCTGGAATAAGGATAAGACTATTTTGCAATGTGACGGAGATATGAATAATTGCAGCTAAAGTCTGACTATGTTATACAAAAGTCATCAATTTTCACCCCTCCCCACAATCATATTTGCCGTGTAACATTGCAGTGCCCATTCACTCTGACTTTGTCCTGGTTTCATGACCTGCTTTGGCAGACAGATTATTGACCAGTTATGAGGCAAGCAGAAGCTATAAAAAGGGGCTTATGCATTCCTGCTTGTGCTCTTACTTTCTGCCAGTGCTATGAGATGAGCATTTTCAAGATAGCCTACTGGTTTCAGGAAGGCAGAAGAGAGACACATGGAACAGAATTGAGTTACCTCAGTTATTCACCAACCTAGATCATTTGTCAGCCAGCCAATTCCTAGATTTAAGTAAATCCATCTAAAATTAGCAGGAGCACACAGCTCACCTCCATAGATGTGTTTTCAGTATATGCTTATTTTCTTAAGCACCTCAGATGTTAACACTATTTTTAAATGAATCATCACCATATATTTATGAACAGGGCCATTCTGTTCTTATGTCAAACCATACAATGCTATTTGCAAAGTTACTAAGTGCTAATGTCATTATTTCACATCTGAGCATACATAAACAGTTCAATTCTGAACTACTTTATGTGTTTTATTTCATTTTAATTCCATCATGTCATATATTGACTATTGGGAAGAACCAGCATTTTAAATGACTGCTAGATTTTGTTTATTTTTATTTATTTTTATTTTATTATTATTATACTTTAAGTTTTAGGGTACATGTGCACAATGTGCAAGTTTGTTACATATGTATACATGTGCCATGTTGGTGTGGTGCACCCATTAACTCGTCATTTAGCATTAGGTATATCTCCTAACGCTATCCCTCCTCGCTCCCCCCACCCCACAACAGTCCCCAGTGTGTGATGTTCCCCTTCCTGTGTCCATGTGTTCTCATTGTTCAATTCCCACCTATGAGTGAGAATATGTGGTGTTTGGTTTTTTGTTCTTGGGATAGTTTGCTGAGAATGATGGTTTCCAGCTTCATCCATGTCCCTACAAAGGACATGAACTCATCCTTTTTTATGGCTGCATAGTATTCCGTGGTGTATATGTGCCACATTTTCTTAATCCAGTCTATCATTGTTGGACATTTGGGTTGGTTCCAAGTCTTTGCTATCATGAATAGTGCCGCAATAAACATACATGTGCATGTGTCTTTATCGCAGCATGATTTATAATCCTTTGGGTATATACACAGTAATGGGATGTCTGGGTCAAATGGTATTTCTAGTTCTAGATCCCTGAGGAATCGCCACACTGACTTCCACAATGGTTGAACTAGTTTACAGTCCCACCAACAGTGTAAAAGTGTTCCTATTTCTCCACATCCTCTCCAGCACCTGTTGTTTCCTGACTTTTTAATGATTGCCATTCTAACCGGTGTGAGATGGTATCTCATTGTGGTTTTGATTTGCATTTCTCCAAAGGCCAGTGATGATGAGCATTTTTTCATGTGTTTTTTGGCTGCATAAATGTCTTCGTTTGAGAAGTGTCTGTTCATATCCTTCACCCACTTTTTGATGGGGTTGTTTGTTTTTTTCTTGTAAATTTGTTTGAGTTCATTGTAGATTCTGGATATTAGCCCTTTGTCAGATGAGTAGGTTGCAAAAATTTTCTCCCATTCTGTAGGTTGCCTGTTCACTCTGATGATAGTTCCTTTTGCCATGCAGAAGCTCTTTAGTTTAATTAGATCCCATTTGTCAATTTTGTCTTTTGTTGCCATTGCTTTTGGTGTTTTAGACATGAAGTCCTTGCCCATGCCTATGTCCTGAATGGTAATGCCTAGGTTTTCTTCTAGGGTTTTTATGGTTTTAGGTCTAACATTTAAGTCTTTAATCCATCTTGAATTAATTTTTGTATAAGGTGTAAGGAAGGGATCCAGTTTCAGCTTTCTATATATGGCTAGCCAGTTTTCCCAGCACCATTTATTAAATAGGGAATCCTTTCCCCATTTCTTGTTTTTGTCAGGTTTGTCAAAGATCAGATAGTTGTAGATATGCAGCATTATTTCTGAGGTCTCTGTTCTGTTCCATTGGTCAATATTTCTGTTTTGGTACCAGTATCATGCTGTTTTGGTTACTGTAGCCTTCTAGTATGGTTTGAAGTTAGGTAGCATGATGCCTCCAGCTTTGTTATTTTGGCTTAGAATTTTAGACCAATATGCTTGATGAAAATTGATGCAAAAATCCTCAATAAAATACTGGCAAACCAAATCCAGCAGCACATCAAAAAGCTTATCCACCATGATCAAGTGGGCTTCATCCCTGGGATACAAGGCTGGTTCAACATACGAAAATCAATAAACGTAATCCAGCATACAAACAGAACCAAAGGCAAAAACCACATAATTATCTCAATAGATGCAGAAAAGGCCTCTGACAAAATTCAACAACCTTCATGCTAAAAGCTCTCAATAAATTAGGTATTGATGGGACGTATCTCAAAATAATAAGAGCTATCTATGACAAACCCACAGCCAATATCATACTGAATGGACAAAAACTGGAAGCATTCCCTTTGAAAACTGATGCAAGACAGGGATGCCCTCTCTCACCACTCCTATTCAACATAGTGTTGGAAGTTCTGGCCAGGGCAATCAGGCAGGAGAAGGAAATAAAGGGCATTCAATTAGGAAAAGAGGAAGTTAAATTGTCCCTGTTTGCAGATGACATGATTGTATATCTAGAAAACCCCATCGTCTCAGCCCAAAATCTCCTTAAGCTGATAAGCAACTTCAGCAAAGTCTCAGGATACAAAATCAATGTGCAAAAATCACAAGCATTCTTATACACCAATAACAGACAAACAGAGAACCAAATCATGAGTGAACTACTATTCACAATTGCTTCAAAGAGAATAAAATACCTAGGAATCCAACTTACAAGGGATGTGAAGGACCTCTTCAAGGAGAACTACAAACCACTGCTCAATGAAATAAAAGAGGATACAAACAAATGGAAGAACATTCCATGCTCATGGGTAGGAAGAATCAATATCGTGAAAATGGCCATACTGCCCAAGGTAATTTATAGATTCAATGCCATCCCCATCAAGCTACCAATGACTTTCTTCACAGAATTGGAAAAAACTACTTTAAAGTTCATATGGAACCAAAAAAGAGCCCGCATTGCCAAGTCAATCCTAAGCCAAAAGAACAAATGACTGCTATATTTTAGATAGTTTATATCTTGCCATTTAAGTGTACAAAGTAATGAATTTTAAATAGAAAAAAAGCTACCCAAGCATGAAACTATTTAGCAATATGTTTACATAACTATGGATATTTTGTTTCTTAGGAAAGGTCATTTGAAGATAAATATCATATTTTAAAAAGTGTGGCTATGTTGAAACAAAATCAATTTTTAGTGATTTATCATATAGTAATAAAAGTCCATGTTTATACCCATTATTATCATTATCGATTAATTTAGTTATGTCTGTGTAATTCTTATTTTTAACTATGACTGTCTTTTCAGGCAATTAACATTTTCCTGCATACTCATGTATGAGCTATGAAACATTTTTTTTAATTTTATATTAAAACATGCATTACTTTAGTGACAATTTGGTGTGCTGTAATTAGGGTATAAAACCAAATGTCCAGCAATGATAGACTGGATTAAGAAAATGTGGCACGTATACACCATGGAATACTATGCAGCCATAAAAAATGATGAGTTCATGTCCTTTTTAGGGACATGGATGAAGCTGGAAACCATCATTCTCAGCAAACTATCGCAAAGACAAAAAACCAAACACCGCATGTTCTCACTCATAGGTGGGAATTGAACAATGAGAACACATGGACACAGGAAGGGGAACATCACACACTGGGGCCTGTTGTGGGGTCAGGGGAGAGGGGAGGGATACCGTTAGGAGATATACCTAATGTTAAATGACGAGTTAATGGGTGCAGCACACCAACATGGCACATGTATACATATGTAACTAACCTGAACGTTGTGCACATGTACCCTAAAACTTAAAGTATAATAAAAAAAATTAAATTAAAAAACATATTTTCTATGTTTGCACTTGATTAATGAACGTTGTTGTGCGTTTTTATTCCGCCTTTCGCATTACAGAGCAAAGATTCATACCATATTCATCACATACTTCCTGTAAACCAAGCCCATGCTAAAAATAGGCACAATGGAGAATATCTTTTCTGTCATCATACGCTTACAATTTCTGCCTTCACCACAAAGTTCATTCTTAATGTTCCATGAGAAGTTCTAAGTTTCCTTTCTTTCTGTTCCCATTTCTACCATAGTACACTGATGCAGGCCACATCAACAATTCTGCTTTCAGGAATATCAAACTGAGAAGAAGACATCAGCTTCTATGTTCACAAAAGCTCTCACGCTGAAAGAGGCCCATGTCAAATTCTCTGAAGAACTTCCTCTCTAAATAAGGTCCCACAGCTGGAATCATTTATTTAGGTGACTATATATCAAGCATCAGAGAAGGAGCATTAGCATCCCCTCTTTAGACATGAAAAAACTTTGCTGGTGGTTTTCTTGAGCAGCTCCTACGTGCTGCAAACAACATTCCACAAAAAAGCAACTCTGAGTCCAATGATTTTTTTCTGTCTCATCCTCCTCCTAAGCTCTTTGCTTACATGGACAGAAAGGGAAAATAGGTTGAAAGTTGTAAGTCACAGCATAAGTTAAGTTGGTAAATAAGCCCTGGAGAAAATGTCTCATATCATTGTCTTACTTTAGGATAGGAGGTATGTCTTCTGCCCTCAGCTTTGTATCCCAATTGCCATCTTGGAGGCAATAAAAAAATTCACTCACCATCCACAGTTATGTAAAAACCTAAAATTCCATGCAATATTTATTTAAAAATAAGATGGGTGCTGATATTAGGGTATTATTTTCCTTTTCTAAATACAAATGTTATATCCATCTAAAAAGAAATAGAATAAAATCAGGTATTAAGGTGAAGTAATATGCAAAATGACAGAGTATTAGTTATCTATTGATACTACAACAAATTACCACAAATTTAATTGCTTAAAACAAGTCAAATTTATTACCTTACAGGTGTGTACATTAGAAGTCTTAACACAGATCTCACTGGGCTAAAATCAACAAATAGGTAGAGCTGCATCCCTTTCTGGAGGGAGACTGTAAGAGATAATCTATTTACTTTCTTTTTTTCAGTTTCCTGAGGCCACCCATATTCCTTTTGGCTCCATGTTCCCTTCCATCATCCTCAAAACCAGTGATTAATAATTAATACATCTTGGGCCAGGTGTGATGGCTCACACCTATAATCCTAGCACTTTGGGAGGATAAGGAGGGCAGATTCCTTAAGACCAGCCTGGACAACACGGAGGAACCCAGGCTCTACAAAAAATACAAAAATAAGCCAGGCGTGGTGGGGTGTGACTGTAGTGACAGCTACTCAGGAGGCTGAGGCAGGAGGATCACTTAAGCCCTGGAGGTCGAGGCTGCAGTGAGCCATAATCATGCCACTTGCCCTCCACCTTGGGGGACAGAGTCTCAAAGAATGATTTAATACTATTTTGAGATGATGTCTCAAAAAATAATTTAATAATAATAATAATAATAAATCTCACTGATTTCCTTTCATAGTGACACTTCCCTCTGACCACTGCAGGAAATTGCTCTCTGGTCTTAAGGATTCATGTGATTAGATTGTACCCCCCTGGGTAATCCCAGGTAATCTCCCCTTCTCGAAGACCTTAACTTTAATTACATTTACTAAGTCTCTTTTGACATGAAAGATAATATATTCACAGGTTCCAGAAATTAGGGCATTGACATTTGAGGTGGAAGGGATATTCTGCCTACTAGACAGTTAAAGGAAGCACTGGTTTTCGACTGGAAATATCAAAATATACTACAAAGCTTTTTAAAAAAAATATGGTATATCAAGGGGCAGACTCTCTTCCAGACTTACTGACTTAGGATCTTTAGTGTTGAGGCCTCACATGCTCATTTTAAATATTTCTGAGAATCTGCTAATTCCCAAGTATGGACACAGAAAATATTACAATGTTTAAATGAAGATAATGATTTTAAGAGAAAATATATAATACATATATCACATTATTTTACTCAAAATATTTTTCTACTCTAAATTGCTACAGAAATATCATATGATGTGGCCACACACATGCGTGCATGCGCACACACATATATATTTCCCTAGACTTAACATATGTGGATAGATTTTAAAATATAAATGCAAAAATACAAATTTATCACATGTTTAAAGATCTGCACATATAGCAAAAGCTGTTCCGGCTATCTAAGAGAAATTTGGACTTAAAGGTTACCAGATACAAAAATACAGTTAAACATGAGGAATCAGTTCCAGTGGTTTTTTTTTTTCTGAGTAGTTTCTATTTATTTATTTATTCATTTATTATATTTTAAGTTCTAGGGTACATGTGCACAACATGCAGGTTTGTTACATATGTATACATGTGCCATGTTGGTGTGCTGCACCCATTAACTCGTCATTTATGTTAGGTATATCTCCTAATGCTATCCCTCCCCCGTCCCCCCTCCCCCCACCCTACAACAGGCCCCGGTGTATGATGTTCCCCACCCTGTGTCCAAGTGTTCTCATTGTTCAATTATAGCACTAAAGGGTGACTATAATTAACATCAATTTAATGTATATTTTCAAAGAGCTAGAAAAGCAGATTTTAAATGTTTCCAGCACAAAGAAATGTTAGATAGTAGAGGTGATGGATATGCTAAGTACCCTCATTACACATAGCGTACATGTATGGAAATAACAGACTGTACCCCATAAATATTTAAAATTATTATGTCAATTGAAAATAATAACAAAAGCAAAAATGTGGGCACTGAAAAGAAATGAACTATTATTACATATTAAAGAAAAGGAAGAAAAGAGAAAAAGAGGAAATTTGGACTTGCCAGTGAGTATAGATGAAATGTTAACGTCATACACTTCCAGAAGGCCTTTCAGCAAAATTACGTGCAAAAGGACTTCTATTTTTTCATTGAGATATAAAGGAAGAATTGGATCTGATGACACCCATAGTAAGAACTGATGAAGAATATGTGCGTGGGAGGGGGCAGGTATGATAAAGTCTGTTTCACTTCTGTGTTATGGAGATGGACATTTGAGCTCATTTGAGCCCCGATAGAGAGAGATGTTATGGGCAAAAGATAAAAAATTTGAGGGACAGTGGAGCAGGGATATTGTTGTCTGCTGCGTCTGATATTGTTTGGATGTTTGTCCCTTCCAAATCTTATATTCAAATGTGATTTCCAGTGTTGGAGATGGGTCCTGGTGGGAAGGGATTGGATCATCGCCGTGGATCTCTCGTGAATGATTTTAAACTATCCACTTGGCAATCTCCCTCAGTTAGTTCATGTGAGATCTGGTTGTTTAAAAGAGTCTGGAACGTCTTCCTCTCTCTTGCTCCTGCTCTCGTCATGTGACATGCCTGCTACCTTTCTCCTTCCACCATGACTGTAAGCTTCCTGAGGCCTCACCAGAAGCAGATGCTGATGCCATGCTTCCTGTACAGACAGTAGAACTGTGAGCCAATTAAATCTATTTTCTTTATAAATTACCTAGCCTCGGGTATTTCTTTATAGCAGTGCAAGAATGCCCTAACACTCTATCTTTAGGAAAAAATGGCCATGTTTAAATATTACCTTCAGTACTAATAGCTGTGGAACACTAAGTACCTTACATAACTTTAGTCGGTATCTTTTTTTTTTGCATCTGGAAATCGAATAATAACACATATTGTAATAGAAGTTGCTAACTAATGTGCGGCCTCATCAGTTAGAAAGACTGACTCTTGGCTGGGTGCAGTGGCTCATGCCTGTAATCCCAGAACTTTTGGGGCCAACGTGGGCAGATCACCTGAGGTCAGGAGTTTGAGACCAGCCTGGCCAACATGGTGAAACCCCGTCTCTACTAAAAGTACAAAAATTAGCTGGGTGTGGTGGCAGGCTATTGTAATCCCAGCTACTTGGTAGGCTGAGGCAAGAGAATCACTGGAACCTGGGAGACAGAGGTTGCAGTGAGCTGAGATTGCACCATTGCACTCCAGCCTGGGGGACAAGAGCAACACTCTGTCTTAAAAAAAAAAAAAAAAAAAAAAGAAAGAGTGACTCTTTTTTCACCTTGAAGAACAGAAATAAATTGGAAGAAAAAACTTGGTGTTCAAACAGCCAATTAAAGCTCATCTTGGAGACACAAATGTGTTTAAGGGTGTTTCTTTCCACACAAGTCTGATTGCCTCAAGATAGCTGTCATTTCTTTATGAAGGCACAGAAAAGAATTCAAAAGCAAATCAATGAATATACTTTAAATGTTTTTCTACTATAGAATTCTAGTATGCTTACTTGCAAAAAATCAAGAATTGAAGAATGGTGTAGGGTAATGACTAGAAGGAAATAAATCAGAAGGATGCCATTATTTTGAAGAAATTATAATGGCAAAGAAAGTACCGACTCTAACTAAAAAATATTTTGACTATACAGTTCTTAAAGAATCCCTCGAGTTTTCAAATGGGCATGCACAAGAAGAAATAAGAGAGATGAAAATCCCACAAAAAGTAGACTTGTGCTTCAATATTCACTTTAAATGTGGCCACAGAGGAATGGACAAAGAATATTCCAGAAAGCTGAGCAATGGGCCACAAAAAAATAAATGAATGAGAGAATTCTTTCCAAACAGCAGAATTAGGTTGTAATCATGTCTTTCCCTACTCTTAGGAAAACAAGACTTCTCATACAAGAGTTCTCATTAGCAGGATTTCATCATTGTTCTTGTGTGTCTCCGTATTTTATTTTCATAATGGGGAAGTTAATTGCAATCATCTTGCTTGTACTCTACCATTGTATACTGCATATACTGAGAACAAATCCCTAGTCTTCCGGCTTCATATATTTAGAGCCACACCTCCATTTAATAGAAAAGACTCAGATAACTGGAGCTTTTAAATTGGATGCAGAAACTTGTTGGAAACACCTTGGATCTTCATCAGGGAAGGAATGAGCATGTTCTACATGTGGAAACAAGTGATAATAAAATTGATACTTGGTGAACAGAAGAGCAAAATGGTAGTGGCTGAGAGCACAAATGAAAGATGCATCTCCCTATACTACAGTAATAATGTTCTCTGTTTCTGAGGCTTTATCTTGTGACAGAGTCAAAATAAGCAAAATGTGAACAGACCTTGGCTCATGGCTCGTTGTAACTCGATTTGTGTGAGTCTCTTGCTCTTCCCCATTTGCCCATTTGCTTATTGAATATTGAAGCTCACAGCAATATTGTGTTGAAGTGTGAAGGACTCCTCCTGGGTCCCTGAATGACTAAGTGGAAATGAGTCCTAATTTGAAATCCCTCACTTACACTTCAAATGAATAAAAAAAAAAAATCTATTTTGTTTAATAAGCCACTGTTATTTGAGGCCTTATCTGTTACAGAACCTCATATTATATTTAACTAATCACTGTACCTTATGGGTTTGTCGAGGTAAATTAATCACATATGTCAATTCATGTAAATTAATTCGTGAATGTTAGCTCTTGTACTATAATGTCTGTAACATTTTAGATCACAAAGCACATGAGTGTGGCTTTGGTTTATCAATAAAATATAAATATTTCATTAAGGATCATATGTAATTTACAACTAATAAAGAAAAGATAACATTTCTATATAGTGCAAAATATGAATGCATGAAAATGGCAAGAATTCATTAGACATTAAATTGTGATAATGGCTCATGTTTAAACAGTTTTGGAATTAGCCCACTGTGTGATGTCTGGTTTCTTTGCTTGTTTACACTACAAGAATGAATAGAGTTGAAACTATCAATTCACAATTTTTAAAGCCTTTCAATTTTTAGTATAAAATTTGTTTTCTCCTACATGTGTAATAGTTATCTATCTGCAGTAATCCACTGGAACAGAAATGTCCAATGTTTCAAAAGTATGAAAATATGATTGTATTTTGCTGGGGAAATTTTATATTCTATACTAAAATGAGCATGTAAATAAAAGTATATGTTCACAAATTTTCATACGGATAGGGAAACAAAATTGTAGAAAAATTAATTTTCTCAAATATTAAGCAATCCTTCTACATGTGATACTTGATGATCCTTTAAAACACCTCAGGGATATTCTTTTGGTAATATGCTAACATATTTAATCAAAAATCAGTGTAGCTTAGGTATATTAATATTATGCTCCAACAAAACACCCTGGAGTGAGCTTTATTGCTTAAACTGTGGAAAGGTCAGACATTTACAGCATATTATCCTGTTTCAAAAATAATTACATTTTCATTGTCAGTTGGGGAAATAGAAAGATAAGATCTATAATACTACATGCAATTAAATTTAACCTTCTTAATGGAATATTAGTGATCTGGGATTTACTTTTGAAATTTACTGAGGAGGTACTCCTTCTATATGTATTCGTATAAACTAGTCAATGTAGAAAAAAGACCATGACTCATTTGGATAAAGTAGTCAATGACCCATTCCATGAGCTCTAAACATCAGTTATCACATGCTTTTCAGATAGACCCATTTGATTTTCCAAATGTCAAATCACATGACAATAAACATGAAAATTCTTTTTTCTTCAGTTTCTTTTTATATTATTAATTTATTTTATGTTTCCTTCTATTCAAAAACTATAAAATATCCTTTTCCTGTAAAATGTCTTTTCTCTGGATGATATATGTGGAGTGCAGAAAAAGGCACGGTGTGAACAAACAGTACACAACTGCTGCCGTGGGGCACTTGCATTTTATTGCTGTATTTATCAAATAAAATACTAAAACCCTAAATGCTTAGATATCCATAGCTCCAACTACATTTTCAGAAAATATGCGTCTATCAGAAATGATCCTTAGGAAAGGTACAGTGAAGATAATTAATTTGCAGAAATAGAAGCCCTCTTAAACCTGTTAAAGATTCACTGAGCCATGTGACATGTTTTCAGTTTCGTCATGACCATTAATTCCAATATTGTTTCATTTAATAGCAACATACAAGAAAAAGGTGATTAAAGATTAATTTTATCCTTTACTTCTAATTCCACACTGCCTTGAAATAGACATTCCAGTAACACAAACTGTCCTAGAAACTACAGCGAAAGTTATTAACGAAAAAAATAATGGCATGGCCACATGGACTTTGAATGACATCAATACAGTTTTGGTATTGATATTTTTATCCTAGGAAGCCCAAGTGTTATATACAATGAATTGAGAATGATGATACATATTTTAAGCTTCTGGATTTACATTACAACATTTTAATTTAGATATAAAAATAATTTTCTTAAAAAGATATAAGTGCAACCAAAAGAAATAAGGAATTTGAATAATGTGCTATCAATAAAATTGAAACCATAAATTTCATATCTTCTCACAAAGAAAACCCCAGTCGCACATGTGCTTCCCTTGTGGATTCCTTCCAACATTTAAGGAAAAAACACCTGTTTTACACAAATTCATCTAGCTAATTAGAAAGAATGTACTCTTCCTACCGTATTTTGTAGGAACACAAATTCAGAACTAAGAATGAATAATAGATTTGAAATGTGAATGATGACATGCATGCAAAAAATCCCACTAATATTCAAGAACATCTATTCTGTGCTTGATTTTGTCGCCTCTTCCACTGTCCCAACCAAAAGTTACGGTTATTAATTTTTGTCAGAACTTTTTGAGCAAATCTAACTGCTTAATATTGAGTTTCACTATGACTGGACTTCTTTTTTATTTTAAAATTTTTACTTTACTATTTCATTCGGTTTTTATTTTGGAATCAAAGTGTGGATGTGCAGGTTTGTTGCAAGGGTATATTCCATGATGCTGAGGTTTGGGGTACCACTGAAGCCATCACATAGGCAGTGAGTATAGTACCCAATAGATACCCAAAGGCTTTTCAACCCTTGCCCCCTATGGTTTTTCCTCCCTCTTGTGGTCCATCTGTATGTCCATGTGCATCCAATGTTTAGCTCCCATTTATAAGGGAGAACATGTGGTATTAGGTTTTCTGTAATGGCCTTCAGCTGAATCCATGTTGCTGCATTGGACACGATTTCATTCTTTTTTCCAGCTGCATATTATTCCATGGTGCTTGTATAACACATTTTCTTCATCCAATCCCTAAATGATGGGCACCTAGGTTCATTCCAGGTCTTTGCTATTGTGAATAGTATCACAATTAACATACGAGTGCAGGTGTCTTTTCTTTTTCACAGAATAATTTATTTTCTTTGGAGTACATTCCCATTAAAAGGATTGTTAGGTTGAATGATACATTCTTTTTTAGTTCTTCAAGAAATCTTCAAATTGCTTTTCCCAGTAATTAGCCCTAATTACTCCACCTTCCTTACTCTAGCATAGTATAATTCAAAATAGAATATCAAAAGTGATATAATTATGTCCTACTTAAAAATGTTTTTGGTCATCACATGTTAGTTTGATTATTTAGAACTTTTATTATTTTATTTTTATCTTTCTACTTTCATTATTTTGCTAAACATTTAAGCTTCCTACCTTCCAATTAACCTGACACACTGAATATTTTAACATCCCATTAAGTGGCAGCACATTAACTGAGGTGGGCCATCACACATATTCTGTTCTTTCTTTTTCATTATAGATTGTGTGTTTAGAGGTAGATATCTTAGCAATTAGTCATATGTTCCTGGAATATGAAGAGAGATGACAAATCCAATTAAGATGATATTGATACAGCAGAGATCCTGGAAACAGAGCTTAACACAGCATCTGGAATAAACATTGATTTTTCTCCCTTTGAAAATGGTGGGATTATGACAAATCTATTCACGGATATTTTTGAAGGTGTCTGTATGAGAAAACGGGTGTGTGTGTTTGGCAAGTGATACATTGTAGACATTGCTATTGCCTTTTCAAAAGTCCTTCAAACCTATTTCATTGTGTTACAGCTATGTTGCTTGGGTACGATTAACCCGATTAACCCAGTCATAACTGTAAAGATAGAACTCGATTAGTTTAAGAAAACATTTTCTACCTTGTGTGTAATGTTTATGATTCAGATTGATTCAAGTGACCCAGATTTTCAAACCAGAAAAAAATACAGCTTTTATGTAATAGTTGTCAGAGAGAGAGATGTTTTCTCTCCACCCTGGCTCTAAGTAATGGAGAATGTACTGGTTTATGAGATTGTTAGAATTTTTGTAATCTCAGATAGAAGCTGAAATACAGCGAAGGGCAGAGCCAAAAGATTCACCAAGAAACACAATCAGTATGCTTAAAAAAGTATGTCTGGATTCTACCTAACCTCACAACTATTAAGTAAGATTATCAATGCATTGACCTTGGTTTATATCAGCTAGTTTCCCAATATTTGCAACTAAAGCCTTTGGATATGGAGTGAGGTGGAAAGATGTTATCAGACTAATCTTCTGTTATTGTTGTTTCTTTTCACTTGATTTAAAATGGTGATGTTTACTAACAGAGGGCTGAATTTTGAAAGACAACATAAATTAAGGATATACTTGCTAATTTGAAGGAACTTCAAAACCACAAATAGGTTTGTCGATCATGTCATTGATTAGAAACTCAGATGAGAGGACTAGTAGACATTGAGCCATAAAGAAGTGAAGCAATATTTTTTCCACGGAAGAAATTACAGAATAAACACAAAGAAGGATTTTTACTGAACAACTTAAAACCATAAAAATTTGCAAATAGGAAGAACACAATGAGCCTGAAAACAAGAGCAGTGAGAAGGGACCAAAAAAATTGAAGGAAGGAAAAGCAAGACAGTACTAAGCAGCGCACACACACACACACACACACACACACACACACACACAATTTAATGAAAGAGTAGTACAATATTGCCAAATTCTATTGCGAGGTCAAGTAAAATGATAACTAATCTTTCATTTGATTTAGACAGATACATGTAATTGAATAGCTTAGAGAATGGTGTTTCTGTGATGGTGTGGAATTAGAAGTCAGACTAAAGGCATCAGCACATTTAGCAGAAAATGAGGACATGGAAACAGCATAAGTTTGACCAGTAATAAGAAGAAAATGTAGTTTATAAATATATGAATATGTACTTTAAAGAAGTTGTGTGTTTGTATATTTTTAATATATTTTGCTTTACTTTTTTCATACATAGACTTAGTTTTTTGGAAAAGTTTTATGTATATAGAAAAAAAATCACTCAAAATTAAAGAGTTCCTATATACCCTCCCTGCCACAAGAGTATTTGCTACTATTAATATCTTGCATTACTGAGATACATTCATTATAATTGATGAGCCAATACTGATAATTCTTTTAATTAAAATTCATAGTTTACATTAGGGTTTACTCTTCATGTAGATTGGTGCAACTTCATCATGTTAAGTATCCACCATTACAGTAACAGCAAATGTTTTCACAGTCCTGAACCTCCTCTGTGCTGCACTTATTCATCCCGCTCTTCTGCTTGGCAACCACCAATATTTTTACTGTCTCAATAGTTTGACCTTTTCTATAATGCCATATTGTTGAAATAACACAATATGTAGCATTTTCAGGTTGGCTTCTCTAACTCAGAAATGTGCAATTCAGTTTCCTTCATGTCTTCTGTGGCTTGGTAACTCATATCTTTTTAATTACTAAATAGTATTTCATTGTATGAATATGCTACCATTTGTTATCCATTCACCTATTGTATTCATGTTTAGATTGGCATGCTTATATATTTTATCTGTTTGATGGAAATACTTCAGAGAAGAAGAAATTCTTGAAGGTAGGGAGAACTAAGGGAGTCAATAGAGTAATGTTAGTTATAAGGTAAAATAATTTTTCTTCAATTGGAGAAAAGACACTATGTCTATTGAAAATCAGGAGAGGAGTAAAGATGGGGTGTAGCAATAAGAAATCTGTCAATTTCAGGGTGAAAACAGAGCTCTTATCAATTAAATTTTTTTTTTTTTTTGAGACAGAGTCTCACTCTTTCACCCAGGCTGGAGTGCAGTGGCATGATCTCAGCTCACTGCAAGCTCCACCTCCCGATTCACGCCATTCTTCTGCCTCAGCCTCCCGGGTAGCTGGGACTACAGGTGCCTGCCACCACGCCGGGCTAATTTTTTGTATTTTTAGTAGAGATGGGGTTTCACCTTGTTAGCCAGGATGGTCTCAAACTCCTGACCTCGTGATCCATGTGGCTCGGCTAATTTTTATTTTATGTGTTAATTGAGGTCTGAGTCTATCAGATAATAAGGAGCACAATAAAAGAGAATCTTTGGAATATTTTAGAATGAGTGTTGGAGAACCAGTTTGTATTTCTTTTCATATGCAATGATATTCACGACCCAGAAGTCCTCATTTACTCCCTCTTAAAGCTTGTGCAAGAAGCTGTTAATGCTTGTTTTAATTAAATTATCACTAATTGATCTTGTAAGTGAACACTGTTACCATATAAATTTATTTTTATATGGAGAATATCTTCCCAAAATAAAGTTTATTACTTTTATAGCATTTTGGCATTACTAAAATACTTCACAATTCACATTGATTTAATAGTGAAATATTTTTTCAATTAACAGCACAGTACCAAAACATAAAATTGTGTTTTATTTTTAAAGCATGTTCAAATTATATAAACTCAGAGAAAAATAATTGTAGTTTATAAACTATAAATCCATTCATAATTGCCCTCACATCACCTCATTTATGTAAATTAAACAAATTTTCTTCAATTGCTAAAAACTTGTTTTTAAAAGAACTCTCACAAACTGAATAAATTACCACACTTGTTTAGTGATAATTATGTACCCATTTAGGAAGCTCATGACATTAAAATTTATGATTATGCAATTAAAATTATCTTCACTTATAAAAAATAAATGTATATATTTCCAGATAAACAACAAAAATACAGACATTTTTTCTCCTGACAGATCTTCAGAGGGAAGACATTGAGAGTGTATGGAGGGAAGATACAGAAGCTGGACTGAATAAGAAGGAAGCTGAGAACCCTGCATGGGGCTACTGCACACCAGGACTTGTATCCAGCCCCCATCAACTCCAGGGGAACAGATGAGTTGAACTGGCAAGGAGCAACCTGCTCTCCTCATAGGCCTCTAGAATCCCAGAAGAAAGAGACCCCTCAACCACTATGGACACTTGAATTGGCAGGGAGAGCTGCTTAAAGAAGTGTCAGGGACTGCATGCCATCCAATACAGAGTCCAAAGGGTCTAGTGCCAGCGCATCTATAGTGGAGTGTGGCCAGAGATACCCACCCCCCGAGGCTTCACTTACTCCAATAGGGGACTTTAACTCTGAGGAAACTGTCAGACCTGTACTCTGCAGGGAAGTCTCCGCCATCAGATGGGGATGGTTCAACTGTGCTAGTTCTCTAGCAAGGGTTCTAAACCAGGTTGAGATGACTGATATGACAGAAATAGAATTCAGAATATGTATAGGAATGAAGATCACTGGGATGCAGGAGCACATTAAAACCAAATCCAAGGAAGCTAACAATCACAATAAAATGATATGGGAGGTGACAAACAAAATAGCCAGTATAGAAAGAATGTAAATAAGCTGCTAGAGCTGACAAGCACATGATGAGAATTTCATAACACAATTGCAATACTAATAGTAGAATACACCAAGCCAGGGAAAGTCTCAGAGCTTGAAGTTTAGCTTTGTGAAATAAGACAGTCAGACAAGAATAAAAAATAATAATAAAGAGGGATACACAAAACCTCTGAGAAATATGAGATTATGTAAAGGGGCCAAATGTATGTCTCTTGTCATCCCTGAAACAGATGGAAAGAATGGAAACAACATGGAAAACATATTTCAGGATATCATCAATAAAAACTTTCCCAACTTAGCTAGAGAGGCCAAAATTTAAATTTGGAAAATGAAGAGAACCCCAGTAAGATACTTCACAAGAAGATCATCCCTGAGACACATAATCATTAAATTCTCCAAAGTGAAAATCAATGAAAAAATGTTACAGTCAGCTAGAGAAAAAGGTCAGGTCACCTATAAAGGAAAACCCATCAGACTAACAGCAGACCTCTCAGCAGAAACCCTGTAAGTCAGAAGAGACTGGGGACCAATAGTCAACATTCTTAAAGAAAAGGAATTCCAATCCAGAATTTCATATACTGCCAAATTAAGCAAAGGAGAAATATGATCCTTTCAGACAAGTGAATGCTGAGAGAATTTATTTCCACTACATGTCTGCATAATAACCAGTTAACTTCATGATGTCAGGATCAGATTCACACATATCAGTACTAACCTTGAAGGTAAGTGAACTAAATACCCCAATTAAAACACACAGAGTGGCAAGCTAGATAAAGAACCAAAATCCAATTATGTGCTGTCTTCAAGAGACCTATCTCACCTGCAATGACACCCAAAGGCTCAACATAAAGGAATGGGGGAAGAAAAGTTATCAAGCAAATGGAAAACAGAAAAAAGTAGGAGTTGCAATCCTAATTTCAGACAAAAGAGATTTTAAACCAACAAAGGTCAAAAAGGACCAAGAATGGCATGATAAATGGTAAAGGGTTCAATTCAACAAGGCCAAATAATCCTAAATATATATCCACCCAACACAGGAGCACCCAGGTCATAAAGTTAAGTCCTTAGAGACCTTGAAAGAAAGAGACTTAAACTCCCATGCAAAAATAGTGGGAGACCATAACACCCCATTGACACTGTTATGCAGATCATCAAGGCAGAAAACTAACAAAAATATTCAGGACCTGAACTCAACACTGAACCAAATAGACCTGATAGATATCTACAGAACTCTCAATACCAAAACAACAGAATATACATTCCTTTTATCACCGCATAGCACACACTCTCAAATTGATCACATAATCAAAAATAAATAACTCCTCAGCAAATATAAAAGAACTGAAATCATACTAAGCACACTCTCAGACCACATCACAATAAAATTAGAAATCAAGACTAAGAAAATTGCTGAAAACCAGACAATTACATGGAAATTGAAAAACCTGCTCTGCAATGACCTTTGCATAAGTAGTGAAATTAAGGCAGAAATCAAGACATTCTTTGAAACTAATAAAGACAAAGATACAACATACAAGAATCTCTGGGACACAGCTAAGGCAGTGTAAAGAGGGACATGTATGGCACAAGATTCCCACATCAAAGAGTTAAAAAGATCTCAATTTAACAGCATATCACAACAAAAAGAACTTGAAAACCAAGATAACAATCCCAAATCAAGCAAAATGCAAGAAATAGCCAAAATCAGAGTGGAACTGAAGCAGATTGAGGGAGAAAACCATTCAAAAGATCAACATATTCAGGAGTTGGTTTTTGAAAAAATTAATAAAATACACTGCAAACTATACTAATAAAGAAGAAAAGAGAGAAGACCCAATGAACACAATTACAAATGACAAAGGGGATATTACCACTGACCCCCCAGAAATACAAATAACTATCAGATAATATTAGGAATACCTCTGTGCACACAGACTAGAAAACCTAGAAGAAATTAATAAATTCCTGGACACATACACACTCCCAAGACTGAACCAGGAAGAAATTAAATCCCTGAACAGACTGATAAGTTCTGAAATTGAGGCAAAAACGAAGAACCTACTAACAACAGCAACAACAACAACAACAACAACAACAACAACAAAAGCCCAGGACCAGAAGGATTCACTGAATTCTACTACATGTTTGAAGAGATGGTAACATTTCTACTGAGACTATTCCAACAATTAAAAAAAAAAAAGACTCTTCTAATTCATTCAATGAGGCCATCCTGATACTAAAACCTGAAGAAATACAACTAAAAAAGAAAACTTCAGGCCAATATACTTGATGAACAACAATGCAAAAATCCTCGGCAAAATACTGGCACAATGAATCCAGAAGCACATGGAAAAGCTTATCCACCATGATGAAGTAGGCTTCATCCCTGGGATGCAAGGTTGGTTCAACACATGCAAATCAATAAATGTGATTAATCACATAAACAAATGAAGATGGAAACCACATGATTATCTCATTAGATGCAGAAAAGTCTCTTGATAAAATTCAACATTGCTTCATGTTAAAAACTCTCAAAAAACTAGCTATTAATTTTAATGGCAAAAAGTGCAATTACTTTTGCACCAACCTAATAACATTATACTGAATGGGCAGAAGCTGGAAGCATTCCCCTTGAAAACTGGCACAAGACAAACATGACCTCACTCACTACTCCTAATCAACATAGTACTGGAAATACTGGCCACAGCAATCAGACAAGGGAAAAAAATAAAAGGCATTCAAATGGGAAGAGAGGAAGTCAATCTATCCCTGTTTCCAGATGACATGATTCTATATCTAGAAAACCCCAGTCTCAGCCCAAAAGCTCCTTTAGCTGATAAGCAACTTTAGCAAAGTCTCATGAAACGAAATCAAGGTACAAAAATCACTACCACCCCTATTCACCAACAACAGTCAAACAAAGAGCCAATTCAGTGACACAATCCCATTCACAATTGCCACAAATAGAATAAAAGACCTAGGACTACAACTAACCAGGGAGGTGAAAGATCTCTACAATGATAACTACAAAACACAGCTCAAAGAAATCAGAGATGACACAAACAAATGGAAAAACATCCCATGCTCATGGATAGGAAGAATCAATAGCATTAAAATGGCTATACTGTTCATTCAGCACAATTTATAGATTAAATGCTATTCTTATGAAATTATTAATAGCATTCTTCACACAACTAGAAAACACTATTTTTAAAACTCATATAGAACCAAAAAGAGCCTAAATAGTCAACAGAATCCTAAGACAAAAGAACAAAGTTAAAGGCATCATGCTACCCAACTTCAAATGATGCTACAGAGCTACTGTAACCAAAACAGCATGGTACACATAGACCAATGGGACAGAATAGAAAGCCCCCAAAAAAGACCTTACATGTACAACCATCTGCTGTTTGACAAAGCTGACAAAAAGAAGCAATAAGGAAAGGACTCCCTACTCAATAAGTAATATTGGGATAACAGGCTAGCCATATGGAGAAGATTAAAACTGGACTCCTTCCTTTCACTATATATAAATACAACTCAAGATGGATTAAAGACTTAAATGACAGACACCAAACTATAAAAACTGTGGAGGAAAACCTAGGTAATACCATTCAGGACATAGGCATGGGCAAAGATTTCATGAGGAAGACCCCAAAAGCAATTGCAACAAAAGTATAAATTGACAAATGGACTCTAATTAAACTAAAGTGCTTCTCTGCAGAAAAATAAACTATCAACAGAGTAAACAGACAACATAAAAATGGGAGAAAATATTTGCAAACTATGCATCTGACAAAGTTCTTATATCCAGCATCTATAAGGAACTTAAAATATTTACAAGAAAACAATCACATTAAAAAGTGGGAAAAAACATGAACAGACATCTTTCGAAAGAAGATATATATGTGGTCAACAAGCATATGAAAAAAAGCTCACCATCACTGATCATTAGAGTAATGCAAATCAAAACCAAAATGAAATGCCAGCTCGAACCATTCTGAATGGCTATTACATAAAAGACAAAAAATAGCAGATGATGGTGAGGATGAGGAGATGTGATGGTTAATATTGAGTGTCAACTTGATTGGGTTGAAGATTGCAAAGTATTGTTCCTGGGTGTGTCTGTGAGGGTGTTGTCAAAGGAGATTCACATTTGAGTCAGTGGTCTGGGAGAGGCAGACCCACCTTCAATCTGGGCGAGCACCATCTAATCAGCTGCCAGTGCAGCTAGGATAAAAGCAGGCAGAGAAATGTGGAAAGACTAGACTGGCTAAGCCTTTTGGCCTCCAGCTTTCTCCTATGCTGGATGCTTCCTGCCCTCAACCATCAGACTCTAAGTTCTTCACCTTTTAGACTCTTGGACCTACACCTGGGGCTTGCCAGGAGCTCTCTGGCCTTCAGCCACAGACTGAAGGCTGCACTGTTGGCATTCCTACTTTTGAGGTCCTGGGACTTGGGCTGGCTTCCTTGCTCCTCAGCTTTCAGATGGCCTATTGTGGGACCTCATCTTGTGATCATGTGAGTCAATACTCCTTAATAAACTCCCTTTCAAATATACATATATCCTATTAGTCCTAGCCCTCTAGAGAACCCTAATACAGGAGAAAAACAAATGCTTATACACTGTTGGTGGGAGTGTAAATTAGTTCAACAATTGTGGAAAGAAGGGTGGCAATTTCAAACAGAACTACTATTTGACCTAGCAATCCCATTTCTGGGTATATACAGAAAGGAATATAAATTGTTCTACCATAAAGACACATGCACATGAATGTTCACTGAAGCACTATTCACAATAGCAAAGACATGGAATCAACTTAAATGCCCATCAATGTTAGACTGGATTTTAAAACGTGGTACATATATACCATGAAATACTATGCAGTCATAAAAAAGAATCAGATCATATCCTTTTGCAGGAACATGGATGGAGCTGGAGGCCATTATCGTTAGCAAACTAATGCAGGAACAGAAAACCAAATACTGCATGTTCTCACTTATATATGGGAGATAAATGATGAGAACACATGGACACATAGAGGGGACCAACAAACACTAGGGTCTACCAGAAGGCAGAGGGTGAGAGGAGGAAGAGTATCAAGAAAAATAACTAAGGAGTACTATGCTTATAAGCTGGGTGATGAAATAATCTGTGCAACAAACCCTCATAACACACATTTACCTAAAAAACAAACCTGCACATGTACCCATGTACTTAAAATAGAAGTTAGAAAAAATGACACATGCATGTCTATGTTCATCACAGCACTAATGACAATAGCAAAGTCAGGGAATCAACATAAATTGTCATCAACAGTAGGCTGGATTAAAAATATGTGGTGATTATATACCATGGAATACCATGCAGCCATGAAAAAGAATGATATTTTTCCTTTGCAGCAACATGGATAAAGGTGCAGGCCGTAATCCATCATAATCGTAAATGAACTAATGCAGGAACAGAAAACCAAACATTGCATAGTCTCACTTTTAAGTAGCAGCAGCTAAACATTGAGTACACATGGACACAAAGAAAGGAACAATGGATACTAGGGCCTACTTGACGGTGGAGAGTGGGAGGAAAGAGAGAATTGAAAAACTATCATTGGTGCTATGATTATTATGTGGGTGATGAAATAATCTGTACACCAAACCCTCACGACATGCAATTTACCTATGTAACAAGCCTTCACATGTACAACAGAAATTAAAATAAAAGTAAAGAAAATATAGACATTTGTGTGTTTTTGGAAAATCTGTGGTAGTAAATATATTCACATAGCATACAATGATGACCATAAATCAATTATAACTAAGTGGGTTTTAGAATTTTATTTTCAAAATCCATACTACTTTTCTCAATCTGTGTATACCAAAAATATAATATCTCTTTTTAGGAAAAGTATAATATTATTTGAATAATAGTTTAATGGAAATAGCTAATTTAGAAATTATAATGCAAATCAAGAGGCATTAAAATTATTTTTTAATTAACTAAATTTACATAGATATCTTGAAATGACAGAAAATTAGAGTATCTGCAGTGCTATCTAAATTGAATATTATTAAAAACAATAAGTGCTTAATTATGCTTTGTTTGTGATCAAAAGTTAATGTGCCTAAAAATAATTTAAATGTAAGCATTACTGAGAGGGTTTTTAGACATGTCTGAAAGCTGTCTGAAAGGTCTAACGGCTACCTGGCTTTTGAACAGACTGGAACAGACTGATGTTGAGCAGAACATTTTGTATTTGCTATCTGGAACTTAGATTATATAATCTTTCTAGTGCCTATGTAAATAATAAAAAGATAAATGAAACAAAATAATATAGTAGGGTATGATTTTACTTTATATGCATGCATATACTAAATTACTAAATAAATATACTACATACTAAATACTAAGTATATTATTTACATATCTATTTCATATGTGAAAACCTGTGGCTTACATTTTTTATACCCTTTCCTTTGCTGATTTTATCAGCAAATCAGCAAAGGAAAAAGGTATATAGTGCACAATTTATCCTATAGAATTTAGGAGAAACCAGGTACAAGCCCTCAATTATTCTTCCCTAGTGGCATCAAACAGGCACCATTTAATTCTCCAAGCAATGACGTATGGTGACACGTAAGTGTTGGCAAACAGAGAAGCCCAGCTGAGTTTTGAGGACAGGGTTTTTATTGGCAGTCAGTCTTGTAGGCATGAGGCACCCACATAACCAAACTGCTCTATTTGGCTCCATCCCATCAGAGGTCAAACTGATACAGAGTGGCCCAAATCCCCAGGTACACAAAAACAGCTGTACACTAAAAGTTACATTATTGGCATGAACTATCTGGTATGGCCCAGATTCTCAAGGATACAAAGACATTCTTATAGGCAGAATATTCCAAGGGCTCAGAGGTTATCTCCCTGGAACAAGTAAGGGGCCAGCACTATGTTTGGAATATTCAACGTTTGAGCCCACCAAGCTCACTGGGTTATCCCTTTACTGTACAAGTAAAATTTATAGAACTAGAAAAATCCTAAGGCAATCCAATCATTTAAGAAATAATTTTGAACTGTTATCATGTGCGATGCACTATTGTAAGTGTCAGGTAGATAGCATTGAACAAAAGAACCCCCATCTCCTAATTTCACAAAGCTTACATTTTCCAGGAAATAATTGTAAATACACAAAATGAAAAACAAGGAAAATAGTATATTAGATGCTAACTAGTGCTCTGTGAAATAATAAATTAGAAACAGGATGAGTGTGTAATGATTTTTATTTTAATCAGATTTTATTGGAAAGGCCTTCCTCTGACGGCAGTATGCTAGTTAAATGTGTGCAGGTCGTGAGGAAGCAAGCCTTGTGGACACCTGGTAAATACCATTCCAAGTAGGCAGAATCGGCATATAGGAGCACCCATCTGGAGATTCATGTTATGCTGGAAGAACAAGGAGGCAGTGTGACTGGAGTCTGGTAAAATGAGAGAGGAAGAGAAGTAATGAAGCCAGATGTGTAAGTGGTGGCAAAATTTTTTCTAGTTATTATTTTCAACATTCATTATTTGTATTAATATTCATTATGAGATTATTATAATTATATTTCAAATTATATAAAAATGGTTTGGAATGACACAGATTTGCAAAAGGAGATAAAGGCATTTTTGATCCTGACTATTAGAACCAAGGGCTAAGAAAATGCTTTGCTCCATGTAGCACTTTTAGTTTGTTATTTGAAATGTTACATTCAAATTATCTTGTAAATACTACTGCTTTATGAAAAGTATCAATAATTGACGATATCACAGGTGGCCCTTTTTTAAAAGAGAACAAACAGATTTTGGCACCACAGAGCTACTCAAAGAGATCACCATGGGTCACTGTCATACAATGCTCACTCTGCACTATTCTTTCTTAGCCATTGCCTTTTCACATGCCTTTCTTCCCACAGCTGGACTTCTTTGTCATATGTAACGTATCATGCGGTGCACATTTTCTCTCCTGTCGCCCATGATTGAGAACAGATGTTATATGCGTTATAATTGTCTTCAGGAGATCTTGATGCCTTTTAATGGCACTCTGTACCTTTTATAATCAGGAGGCTTAGCTGCATGCTTAGAGGCCCATGAAGAATAGAACTTCTTTGTATTGTAGGTCTTCACATATAACCTCTAGGCCTGCTGTTCCCCTTTCACTGCTTGCTGGAACAATTAGCATTGGTAAGGGTTTTTCACAACAGGTATTAATGCCTTACTGAAAGAGGTGAGGACATTTGGCTTTTCCAAGAGGCAAGGATTGAGCTATGGAAGATAAAAGGTTTCCTGAGGGAAAAAAATAAAACAAACTTTTTAATTTTCCTTACTCTATCTTTCCATTCAAAATAAGTTAATTTTTAGTTTTTAATTACTTGATGTCAAAGAACAAGGAAAACAAGGTTTATATTCAAATTTGGGTTATCAAAACGTAAAATGTGTTTTTATAATTTTTAATTATTTTGATTGGATCAGAGAGTAATACAAATAAAATCTTGCAGAAGGCCTTCTATGTGAATGCTAGATTGTTTTCTCTGAAGAATTTTGGATAAACCATCAGATGAGTCTACACTCTATGTATGTATTGATACATAGAGTATAGACTTCAATGAATGCAAATGGACTTATTCCATCTGTTTCTCTGTTTTGTTTGTTTGTTTGTTTGTTTGTTTTCCATTTGGGGAAAAGACAAGCTAATGAGAGAGCTGAACTCAGGGAAAGGGGCTTCACTGTGATCCTAAAACATCATCTGCATTCCAATGGTTGAGTCTTTAAATGCATTTTTCTGTTCACTGTAATGACCTTACATAGGTTCTTAAAACTCTGAAGCCTTGGTTCTTGTGTTCAAAATTAATATTAGTAATGATAACAATATTTATTAGGAGTTAGTTTACTGTGTGCTTTATAGCCATTTACTTTACATTTTGCTACAGCAGTACGTAGTAGTGGAGTTGGGAGTCCAAATCCAAATTCCTTCATGTATAATCTATTTGATTCCTCCAAAACACTTTTTCAGCCCTCTCCTGGTTAGCACACTTAATTTTATGCCTGATTTTCTTCAAAGCAACCATTTGTTCTGCATAGTCTCTGTTGTACTCTGTAACAAACTATATATATATATATATATATATATATATATACACACACACACATATATGTATACATGCGTATATATGTGTGTGTATATATATGTGTATATATGTATATATATACATCTATATATATACACATATGTATACACACACATACATACACACACACACACATACATATATGTAAACTGATTACTTTCTCTAACTTCCTAACTAGAATTGAAATTTTTCACTTAATTTAAAATGTTTACGGTTAATATAACTCTTCAACAGAAAACAGTCAGGTGACCATAAGAGCCCCGTGAACTTGGCATGAGATTTCTTTAAATATTCAGATCAATTTGAGAGGAGTGGACACCTTAAAAATATTGACTCTTTCTGTCCTTGAGCATTGTATATCTGCCCAATTATTTACATATTCTTAGTTTAAGCACTGTGTTCCAATGGTGCCATTGGATGACATCGGGAATGTTCTTTTTCCCTGTATTTGAATCATTTTGTACAATGCTGGCATTATTTTCTTTTTAAATATTTAAAACAAATTACTTGTGAAGATATCTGGAGCTAAAATTTTCTTCAAATGCAAGATTTTGTTTTTTGTTAGAAGAATAATTTTTTCACTGTATTAATTTTCACTGTATCAATTAACACACGGCCCTTCAGACTTTCTCTTTCTTCTTATGTCAGTATAATTCGTGTATTTTATAAAATGTTATACATGTCTTCTAAGGTGTAAAATTAGTAATTATAAAATTATATATATTTTCTCTCTATTACCTTTTAATGTCCATCATAAGATCTGTATTAATGCCCCCTCTTTTACTTGTAATATTGATAATTCTACCAACAACCCTTGAACTTGAGGGGGACAGAAAAACCTCAAATGAAATTGCAACTCGAAATAATCACTGTGACTTTTTTGTTAACTCCGCCAGGATTTTATCAGTTTTATGAACCTTTTCAAATAACTTGCTTTTAGTTTTATTGATATTTCTCTCAAGATTTTTCTTTTATTGTTTTCAGCTTTTATGTATATTTATTCCATATTTTAATTTATTTTAGGTTTAATTTACTCCTGTTTTCCCACCATCTAGTGATGAAAACTTTGTCCATTGATCATAAAGACTTAAAGCTCTAAAAATTTCTTTAAGCATCCCAAATTCTGATTATGTTCATATGAAGTTCCAAATATTTTTATATCCTTACAATTTATTTATTCAGCTATTCATGATCATATGGAATGGTATTAAACAGTTTCTGACTATTTGAAAATTTTCTACATACTTTTGTTGTTGATTCTAATTTAATTTAACTTTTGTCAGAAATTTATCAAGACTTATTTTACATTTCAAACGATAGTTCATCTTTGTGAATGCTCCATATGTTCTTGAAAAAACTGTGTGTTTTACAGCAAGGTCACTTTATTTTATATGATCAGATCTCCAGCGTTGCCCTGTATAACTTTTGTCTCACTTGTATAACTTCTGTAATCTCTATTTTACTCACAGCTCTCTAGGACTGTTCTCTGCCTGACCTCTCAGAATGTTGTTTTTTATATGTACAACTTAATATTGAGATACTGGCTGAAGGAAGCAGTTTTTGGGATTTGCTTACTTCCACCTTCTCTAGTTAACTATCCCTCAAATTGTAGCCGTCTCAACAGCCCCATCCCCTGATCTCTACCTATTTTACTCAGCAAGACCACTGCTATGTGATTAAGGTCCACTTCCTGTGCTGCAGTTTGAAAAGTGCTCCATGCACAAAACTGTTTTCAAAATGACTCTGTCTCATTGGGATCACAACCTTCTGCTTTCTGTTATTCAATGAACAAAGCCAGTTGAAAGATTCATTTTGCATGGTAATATGGTGGATACTTATGTAAGCAGGTAAATCACCTCCCTATTCTGTTCCATTGGCCTGGGTGCCTGTTTTTGCACCAGTACCATGCTGTTTTGGTTACTGTACCCTTATGGTATAGTTTGAAGTAAGATAATGTGATGCACCTGGCTTTGTTCCTTCTGCTTATATTTGCCTTGGCTATTCAAGCTCTTTTTTTGGTTCCAAAGAAATTTTAGAATAGATTTTTTCTAGTTCCGTGAAAATTACATAGGTAGCTTAATAGAAATAGTGATGAATCTGTACTTTGCTTTAGGTAGTATGGCCATTTTAATGACATTTATTCTCTTAATTCATGAGCATGTAATGTTTTCTATATTTGTTTGTATTTTCTATTATTTCTTTCAGCAGTGTTTTGTAGTTCTCATAGAGATCTTTCACCTCCTTGGTTAGATGTATTCCTAGGTATTTTATTTTTTTTTGTTGCTATCATAAATGAGACTGCATTCTCGATTTGGCTTTCCACTTGCATATTATTGGGGTATACAAATGCTACTGATTTTGTACAACTTTTTTTCTTTTAGTTCTGCAGCACCTTTTTTTTTAAAAAAATAAACATATTTGTGTTATTTTTTGGTAAATTTGTATAACTTCTCTTTGTTGTTTCTTTATTATCCTCCCATTCTATCTACCTGCCTTTTATAGTCAACTAGGTTGTAATCAAAGAAAATGGAATCTCAGCGTTATTTCTCCTTTAGTACCAATTCCACTTATTCTTTGGCATCGAATTAGATGTTAATCAGGACATTTGCTTGCAGATTTTTATATAACAAATATTAAAAAAAGGACTGTGACACTTACTTTTAGGAAAATCTTAGATTTCTGCTGGTCTCAGTGGACAAGTTTATACCAATACCCAGTTCTCTTAAATCAGTCTATTTTCTATGCAAATAGAAAATATGCAAAGCTAAAGTTATGCTTTAGCTTTTATAACCACAGCTCTGCTTTGACTATCTTAAACATCGCCACTCATCTTTTTAAAAATATTTATTGCATTTATTTCATCTATTCCAAACTTTATCAACTATACTTAATTTGTTACTTTTATTTGATTATCTACCCTCCTCCGAGGATTATTTTACTTTGCAATTTACCTTCAAAATCATTATATCTTTTCACTAGTTGTTTCAATTTCCCTCAGTCTCAACATCTACAATGCCCCTTCCTCCAACTCAAAGTGCCTTTTGTCTTCAGATATAATCTTATACTTCTTTTGATGAGAGAAAGAGCTATTTTATTCACATTTCACAATTAAGTATTTAGTTGGGAGGCAAACAGAGCATAGAATAAGTACAGAGACTCTAGAACTCCAATGCCTTGACCTACTTGTCAAATCCTTGACCTACTACTTATTACTTGTATAATCCCGGATAAATTACATTATATCTCTGTGCTCCAATTCCTCAATGACAAAGTTTAACAGTAATGGGCATCACTCAGTAGTTTTCCATTAACAATTAAATAAATTAACCTATGTAGAGCACTCAGAACAAGATTTAGCACATAAAATGTACTCAATAGATGTAAGATATTCCACTATAACTATTTTCTGAATTTTCAGCTTTTGTGTATGTGTGTACCTAACATGATTCTTTTTATGTATATGTTACTCTGAGATGAATTTTCTTATGTCTGTAAAATATTATTTTACTAACTCATAATTTTCCTTAATGATTTTCCTGTTCTTTCTCATTAAATATTTTAATAGACAGTATTTTTTCAGAGAACTTTTAGGTTCAGAGCTAAATAGAGTTTAACTTCTCTAAACTTATGTCCCAAAACAAGAAGAAATTGGACTCACTAAATGTTCCAGCAGCAGGGATCAGAATAAGCCTTTTTATATCTCTTCGCACAGGAATTGTGATCCTATTCCTTAGTCTTTACAAAGCCCCTAATTACTAATATATCAACCTGATAAATGTTAATTCATATATGAGCTAGAATTTTCAGTATTGTACTTTTCCATTTTATAAAAATGTCACCCCTAAGTTTTAATAGACTTTACTTTTAGGACAGTTTTAGTTGTCTCCAAAAAATCTACTGAAGGTACAGAGATTCCCCATATATCCTATTCCCCCACACATGCATAGCCTCTCCCATTATCAATATCCACCTCCATGGTGGTATATTTGTTACAATTGATAAACCTACATTGACACATCATTATTACACATCATATCATTATTAAACTATTAAATTCCACAGTTTACATTAGGACTCATGACACTTTATTGTCTCCCAAAGCCCATAGTTCACATTAGGGTTCATGCTTGGTGATGTGTATTTTATGGGTTTTGACACATGTATAATGACATATATCCACCATTGTAGCATCATGCACAATAGTTGCAGTGCCCAAAATCTCATCTGTGCTCTGCTTATTTATCCATCCCTCTCATATCCCCTCGCAACCACCAATTTCTTTTTTACTGTCTGCATAATTTTGCCTATTCCAGAATGTCATATAGTTGAAATAATATAGTACATAGCATTTTCAGATTGACTTCTTTTACTTAATAATATGTATTTAAACTTTTTCCATGTCTTTTTATGGCTTAGTAGCTTACTTAATTTTAGTGTTAAATATTCCATTGTCTGGATGTACCACAATTTATTTATACTTTTACCTATTTAGTTGCTTCCAAGTTCTAGCAATTATGAATAAAGCTGTTACAAACATCCTTGTCCAAATATTTTTTCAGATATAAATTTTCAGTTTATTTGAGTAGATACCAAGGAGAACAATTTCTGGATATTTGGTAAGAGTATACTCAGTTTTGTTCAAAGATATCAAACTGTCTTCCAAAGTGGCTGTACTGCTTTACATTCTCACCAGCTCTGAATGAGCGTTCCTGGTGCTCAACAACCTGGCAAGCATTTGGTGTGGTCCATGTTTTAGATTGGCCATTCTAAGAGATGTGTAGTGGTATCTATTTTTTTTAATTTGCAATTCCCAAGTGACATATGATATTGAACATCTTTTTAACGTGTACTTGCCATTTGCATGTGTTTAGTGAGGTGTCTGTTCAAGTCTTTTGCCCATTTTTTAATTGGGTTGTTTGTTCTCTTCTTGTTGAGTTGTAAGTATTCTTTGTGTATTTTAAACAGCAATCCTTTATTAGATGTCTTTTGTAAATACTCTCTCCCAGTCTGTTTCTTGTCTTTTTATTTTCTTGACATTGTCTTACATTAATTAAATATTTTTTCAAAAGAATATCTATAGTAATTGTTCTAAATTCTTCATCAAATAGGCCGGATTATAATTTTTGATCAAGTGAAAAGATTAGCGAGAGAAACAGTTTGGGCTTAGTTTTTAGTTTTTCTATTACCATAAGACAACTTTCTGCTCCTTTAGAGGAAGCAATTTGTCATGTCATTGACAACCAGCCTCTCCGTCCTACTTATTTCCCACTCAATGAAACAGAAACTAGAATGTCTTCAGCCTCATAATCCAGTGACAGGTGTACTGATAGATATGGAAGGATAAATGTATTTTCTCACATACAGTGACATGTGAAGCAAGATACTTAGATACTACTAGTTCTAGTAAGTAA
This sequence comes from Homo sapiens, assembly GCF_000001405.40. Classification (NCBI taxonomy): domain Eukaryota; kingdom Metazoa; phylum Chordata; class Mammalia; order Primates; family Hominidae; genus Homo; species Homo sapiens. Next base: position 24,215,409 of record NC_000005.10, read on the forward strand.
TCTAATTGCAATTACATTTATTTAATTACTCTAATTAAGTAATTATAGTTTATGAATTCTTCCAAAATAAAAAGGATTCTTTGTGTACGTGTGTGTGTGAGTGTGTGTGTGTGTGTGCGTGTGTGTTTATAATGTGTTTTGGGGAATGAAAGGGCTAAATTAGAATCTGAAATTGGCATCTACACCAGAATCTGATACAAAAAAAACTTCAATATTAAAGATTATGGAGTACTATTTAATAAAATTTAAATACTGTTTCATTGATCATCACGAAAGTTATATTTTGATCTCCTTTGGACGAGGACCTAAATAGAAGAGATTTGTTTTGACTTCAAATGTTTTGTCTTTTTCTGGGGAGATAAGATTCTTTTGAGATGGTTGATAGAGTTATGATTTTGACTGTTTTAAAAGAAGAGCTTTTATCATATCTTCCTTGTAATAATATTCACGTAGCTATCTCATAGACCTGTATGTTTGAAGTGGGGGAAACTGTCAAAGCACAATTACTTATGGAAAACAGAGGTTATTCTCATGTGTATTAGGTTTTAAGGGTTTCGTCAGGAAGAGGCTGGAGTGTCCTACCCACTTCCCCATCCTACTCTCAATCATTCAAATATTTTCACCAGAGAAAACATTCCTACTACACTAGATTTTTTACTGTAATGTAACAAAATTATCACAAACCTAGTAGCTTAAAGCTATACATGTTAAAGCTTAATGCAGATTTATAATCTCTTAATTATATGGGTCAGGAGTCTATGCAAAAATTAGTATGTTCTCTGCTCAGGGTCTCACCAGACTGAATTCAACATGTTAGCTGGGATTGCAATCTAACTTGAGGTTCAGCCTCTTCTTCCAAATTCACTGGTTGGTGGTGGGATTCAAATTTCTGCAGTTATAAAATTGAGGCCCTAAGTTCTATTTATTTATTTACTTTTTTTTTCTTTTTCTTTCTTTTTTTTTTTTTTTTTTGAGTTGGAGTCTTGCTGTCACCAGACTGGAATGCAGTGGCGCAATCTTGGCTCACTGCAATCTCCACCTCCCAGATTCAAGGGATTCTTCTGCCTCAGCCCCCCGAGTAGCTGGGATTACAGGTGCACACCACCACACCCAGCTAATTTTCATATTTTTAGTAGAGACGGGGTTTCACCATGTTGGCCAAAATGGTCTTGGTCTCCTGACCTCATGATCCGCCCACCTTGGCCTCCCAAAGTGCTGGGATTACAGGCGTGAGCCACTGCGCCCGGCCGAGGCCCTCAGTTTTTAGAAGCCAGTTGTCAAGCGCTGCTCTGTGGCCCTTTTGACAATAGAATATGGACTTTTCTTCTTCAAGGCCAGAAAGAGAATGTCTCTGATACTATAAATGTCTCCGACATTTTGTAGAACACAACATGAGACATACCTTTTGAAAAACTTTACAGTATTTTTAACTAGAGGCACAAGAATGGACAGCACATCCCTGGCATTAATTCATCTTCCATAACTAAAATAATATACCCAATGAAGAGCAACTCCACATTTTCCCCTACTGCCAGTGCCCGGCAACCACCATTCTACTCATTCTGTTCTGTTTCTATGAGTTTGACTATTTTATGTACCTCTTGTAAATCAAATGATGCAGTATTTGTCTTTCTGTGACTGGCTTATTTCACTGCATAATGTCTTGCAGGTTCATCCCTGTTGTCACAAATGGCAGGATTTTCTTCTTTTTAAAAGCTAAGTGATACTCTGTTGCATGCATATACTACATTTTTTAAATTCATTCACCCATTAGGGGACATTTAGGTTGTTTCCATATCTTGGCTATTGTGTGAACAATGCCGTAGTGAATACAGAAATGCAGATATGGGAGCCAGGCATGGTGGCTCAAGCCTGTAATCCCAGCACTTTGGGAAGCCGAGGCAGGCAGATCACCAGGTCAGGAGTTCTAGACCAGCCTGGCCAATATGGTGAAACCCCATCTCTACTAAAAATACAAAAATTAGCCAGGCATGGTGATGCTTGTCTGTAATCCCAGCTACTCGGGAGGCTGAGGCAGAAGAAATGCTTGAACGTGGGATGTGGAAGTTGCAGTGAGCCAAGATTGTGCCACTGCACTCCAGCCGGGGAGAGAGAGCGAGACTCCGTCTCAAAAAAAAAAAAAAAAAGAAAGAAAGAAGGAAAAAGAAAAATAAATGCAGATATGTGCTTTCAAGATCCTGACTTCAATTTTCAATTTATATGTGTGTGTGTATATGTGTATATATATATATATATATGTATATGTGTGTATATATATATATATATATATATATATATATACCTGTAAGTGGGATAGAAAGCATTGGTACCATCTTGGCTCACTGCAACCTTAACCTCCTGGGTTCAAGCAGTTCTCATGCTGCAGCGTCCTGAGTAGCTAGGATTGACAGACATGCACCACTACGCCTGGCTAATTTTTGTATTTTTAGTAGAGATGGGGTTTTGCCATGTTGGCAATACTGGTTTGAAACTCCTGGCCTCAAGTGATCTACACGCGTTGGCCTCCCAAAGTGCTGGGATTACAGGCATGAGCCACCACACTGGCCATTTGACCCATTTTTAATTAGGTTATTTATTATTTTGTTAGTAAGCTGTAGGAGCTATTTATATCTTTGGGCTACTAACCTCTTAACAGATATGGTTTGTAAATATTTTTTCCAATTCTATAGGTTGCCTTTTCACTCTGTTGTTTTTTTCCTTTGCTATGCAGAAGCTTTTTACTTTGATATAGTACCACTTTCTACTTTTACATTTTTTTTTTTTTTTTTGGTTTGTTCTTCTGGTATCATATTCAAGAAATCATTGCCAAAACCAGTGTCATGAAACTTTTCCAATATACTTTCTTCTAGGAGTTTTACATTTTCAAATCTTAAGTCATTAATTCACTTTTAGCTGATTTTTGCATGTGGTATAAGTGTCCATATTCATATACATTTTTGGTAAAAAATGAAAACAGTATTAAATAAACTTTACTTCATTAAATTTGCCAAAATAATTGACTCCATTATTACAGTCACCATGTATCATTCAAAATCCTAATAGGCTTATTTTTCCTTATAGTAAATTTTGGCACCAAGGATTTCATTGTTAGTCACTGATAATAACATATTTCATTTAGAATCTAATCTTCTCGGATTCTAATCACATGAAGTTGTGAGGTCACTTGGACCAGTGCTGCCCAAAATAATAACCATTGGTCACATGTGGCTTTTTAGCTCTAGATGAATTAAAATTAAATAATATAAAAAGTTCTGTTCCTCAATTATACTAGGTGATAGGACTTGGCTGTGTCCTCACGCAAATCTCATCTTGAATTGTAGTTCTAATAATCCCTATGTGTCATGGGAGGGACCCGGTGGGAGGTAATTGAATCATGGGGGTTTTTACTCCTATGCTGTTCTCATGATAGTGAGGGATTTCTCATGAGATCTGGTGGTTTTATAAGCATCTGGCAGTTCCCCTGCTGGCTCTCATTCTCTCTCCTGCTGCCCTGTGAAGAGGTCACTTCTGCCATTACTGTAAGTTTTCTGAGGCCTCCCCAACCATGTGGAACTGTGACTTAGTTAAACCTCTTTTCATTATAAATTACCCAGTCTCAGGTATTTCTTCATAGCAGCATGAGAATAGACTAATACACTAGGCATATTTTAAATACTCAGTAGGCCTATGAGACTACTGGCTCATGCATTGGATAGTATAGATAGAGAACATTTCCATTATCACAGAAAGTTCTATTGCACAACCGTGGCATAGAGCAATAGGTCTCAAACTAACTTGCCCTAGAATGACTTGAAGGGCTTGCTAAAATATGTTAGATTCCTTCCTCAATAGGACTACAGTGAGGTTTAAGAATTTTCATTTCTGTGAAGTTGCTAGGTGAGATTGATGTTGCCCTACTGGGAAGCACAGATTAAGAGCCATTGATTTAGAGTTATTGATTCATTTGCCCAAACTTACAGAAAATACTAAGTAACAGTATTCTAACAGATAGAAGAGTTGTATGTCTAAGTATATGTTTAATATTAGAGATCCTGATAGTAGAGAGGAGAATTGCTCTCAGTCAATAGTATTTTAATGCTATCTATAAGTATAAATGGATATAACCCCTAAAAAATTGAAATAAAAAATAAATAAATACATTAAAATATTTTTAAAAACCTTTTTATTTGTTGATATTTTAGGCAGAGGCAATTTGATTTAAATAAAATACATAACATTTTAAAAATTGATGGTATATTTGCTGTAAATGCAAGAGAGTATTTAACAAGGAACATACAATTTACGTTACTGAAATAGGTGAAATGATTGAAATATGTGAATATATATATATTTAGATAGCTTTCATAAAGTCACTGTAATAGAGTGCTATTTGTGCAAATGAGTGCAAACATTAATTTACTGATCTTTAAATTTCACTTTATTCATGAAAAATTTTGCAATACAATATACTGTATTTTAGTGGTTTTTGGTGACATGGATGAATATTTTAGTGGTAAAGTCTGAGATTTTAGTGCATTCATCACCCAAGTAGTGCACATTGTACCCAATATATAGTTTTTTTCCTCGTGTCCCAACCATCCTCCCTCTTCTGAGTCTACAGTACCATTATACCACTCTGTATGCCTTTGCTTGGCCATGACTTAGTTCCCACTTATAAATGAGAACATATGGTATTTGGTTTTCCATGAGTTACTTCACTTAGAATAATGGTCCCCAGGTCCACCCAAGAGTCTGCAAAAGACATTATTTCATTTTTACGGCCAAGTAGTATTCCATGGTGTATATATATACCACATTTCTTTACTCACTTATCAGTTGATGAGCACTTCTTAAGTTGATCCCATATCTTTGTAATTGTGAATTGTGCCATGATAAAATATGTGTGCAGGTGTCTTTTTTATATCATAAATTATTTTTCTTTGGAAAGATTCTCAGTTGTAGGATTGCTGGATTGAAAGGTAGATCTACTTTTAGTTCTTTGAGACATCTCCACACTGTTTTCCATAGAGGTTACACTAATTTACATTCCCACCAGCAGTGTATAAGCATTCCTTTTCACCACATCTGTTGTGGCTCCTTCACTCCCATAGTTCAACAAGTGGGAGACAGTGTTACAGCTCTTCTACTCCCACAGTTCGGCAAGTTCTAACTTCTTTTCTCATGACCAAGAGGAATGAGGTATGTGGACACCAGAGAGTGAATAAGGCAGAGTAGAGTTTTACTGAGTAACAGAAAGAAAGCTCTCAGCAGTGAAAGGGGACCCAAAAGTGGGTTGCTGGCTACAAGGCTGAGTCTGGGGCTTTTATTGGCTTATAATGAGGAAATGCATGCTGATTGTTTTATAGGTAGGCTTGGAAAAGGCATCATTCAAAAAGAGATAATTAGTGTAGATAATCAACTGGGGGCCGAAGTGAAGGCTTCTCTCAGGACCTTGGGCTGAGACCAGTCAGGAGCTGGAGTGAAAGTTTGGCCCAGGAACTTGGATTGGGACCAATCAGAGCAGAGTGCACTGAACGGGAATGGAAGTTCTCACTCTGCTCTGTGGACTCTGTCTGAATCTGGTAGTTTGATGTTCAGGCTTCAGAGTGTCCTTGACTTGAAGGTCAAGTTTCACTGGGGACCTGCCCCTGTCTGCCTAGGAATTTGTCTGCCTGCTATCACTATCTCATCCACATCAACATCTATTGTTTTTTGACTTTTAATATGGTCATTCTGTCCTGGGCAAGGTGGTATCACATTGTGGTTTTAATTTGTGTTTCCCTGAAGATGAGCAATATTGAGCATTTTTTCATGTTTTTTGCCATGTGTATATCTTCTTTTGAGAAATTTCTATTCATGCCATTTGCCCACTTTTTGATGGAATTATTTATTTTTTATTGCCAATCTGTTTGAGTTCCTTGTAAATTCTGGATATTAGTCCTTTGTTGAATACATAATTTGCAGATATTTTCTCCCATTCTGTGAGTTGTCTGTTTACTCTGATAATTATTTCTTTTGCTATGCATAAGCTTTTTGTTTTAATTAGGCCCTATTTATTTATTTTTGGTTTTCTTTCATTTGCTTTTGTAATCTTTGTCATAATTTTTGGCCTGGGCCAATGTTGAGTAGAGTTTTTTTCAGATTTTTTTTTCTATAATTTGTATGGCTTCAGGTCTTATATTTAAGTATTTAATCCATCTTGCAGTGACTTTGGATATGGTAAGAGATAGGTATCTCATTTCATTCTTCTATATGTGGCTATTTAGTTTTCTCAGCATTACTTATTGAATAGGATGTCCTTTACTCAATTTATGTTTTTTTAATGCTTTATTGAGTATCAGTTAGTTGTAAGTATTTTACTCTATTTCTAAGTCCTCTATTCTGTTCCATTTGTCTATGTATCTACTTTTATACCAGTACCATGCTGTTTTGGTTATTATTGCCCTGTAGTATAATTTGAAGTTGGGTAATGTAATGCCTCCAGATGTGTTCCTTTCTCTTAGGATTACTTGGGCTAGAAAGGCACGTTTTTGGTTCTATATAAATTTTAGGTTTGTTATTTGTAATTCTGTGAACAGTTATATTGGCATTTTGATAGGAATTGCATTGAATCTGTAGATTGCTTTGGGAAGTATGGTCATTTTACTAATATTGACTCTTCCAATCCATGAGCATGCATTGCATTTCCATTTGTTTGTGCCATCTATAATTTATTTCAGCACAGTTTTCTAGTTAACCTTGTAGAGATCTTTCATTTCCTTTGTTATGTATATTACTAGGTATTTTATTTTAGCTTTTGCAGCTATTGTAAAAAAATTTAGTTCTTGATTTGATTCTCAACTTGGTCACTTGTTCATTGTTGGTGTGTAGCAGCACTGCTGATATTTGTACATTGACTTTGTAACCTGAGACTCTACTGAATTTATTTTTCAAATCTATAAGTCTTTTGAAGAAGTCTTTAGGGTTTTCTAGGTATACAATCATATTGTCAGCAGAGATAGTTTGACTTTCTCTTTTCCAATTTGGGTGCCCTTTCTTTCTTTCTCTTACCTGATTGCTCTGACTTGGAATTCCAGTACTATGTTGAATAGAAGTGGTGAAAGTAGGTATCCTTGTCTTGTTCTATTTTTTAAAATGCTTTCGACTTTTCCCCATTCAATATGATGTTGGTTATAAGTTTGGCATATATGGCTTTTATGATTTAGAAATATGTTTCTTCTATGCCTAGTTTATTGAAGGTTTTTATCATATATCAATGCTAAATTTTACTGAAAATTGTGCTTTTTCTGCATTTATTGAGGTGATCATATGGTCTTTGTTTTTAATTATAATTATGTGATTAATTACATTTATTGATTTGTATATGTTGAACAATCCCTGCATCCCTGTAATGAAACCCACTTGATCATGGTGAATTATCTTTCTGAATCTGAACTGAAATCTTTGAATTCAGCTTGCTAGTATTTTGTTGAGGATTTTTGCCTCTATGTTTATCAGAGATATTAGTCTGTAGTTTTCTTTTTTATTATGATTTTTTCCTGGCTTTTGTATCAGAGTTATGCTGGCTTCATATGAGTTAGGGAGGATGTCCTCTTTCTCAGTCTTTTGGAATATTTTCAGTATGACTGGTATCAGTTCTTCTTTGAATGTCTGTTAGAATTTGGCCGTGACGGTCTGGCCTTGGCTTTTTTATTGTTGTTGGAAATTTTTTTATTACTGACTCAGTCTTCCTGCTTATTATTGCTCTGCTTAGGATTTCTGTTTCTTCCTGATTCAAGCTAGAAAGGCTCTATGTTCTAGGATTTTATCTATTACCTCTAAATTTGCTAGTTTGTTGCATCCAAATGATCACAGTAGTCTCAAATTATCTTTTTTTTTTTTTTTCCAGACAGAGTCTCGCTCTAGTGCCCAGGCTGGAGTGCAGTGGTGCGATCTCAGCTCACTGCAAGTTCTGCCTCCTGGGTTGACGCCATTCTCCTGCCTCAGTCTCCCGAGTAGCTAGGACTACATGTGCCCACCACCGCACCCGGCTAATTTTTTGTTTTGTTTTGTTTTGTTTTGTTTTTTTAGTAGAGACGGGGTTTCACCGTGTTAGCCAAGATGTTCTCAATCTCCTGACCTTGTGATCTGCCCACCTAGGCCTCCCAAAGTGCTGGGATTATAGGTGTGAGCCACCACACCCGGCCTCAAATTATCTTTTATATTTCTGTGATGTCAGTTATAAGGCCTCCGTTTTCATTTCTAATTGAACTTATTTTAATCTTCTCTCATCTTGATTAACCTAACTAATGATCTATCAATTTTGTTTATCTTTTCAAATAACCAACTTCTCCTTTCATTGATTTTTTTTGTTGTTCTTTTGGTTTCAATTCATTTCGTTCTGCTCTAATTTTTGTTATTCCTTTTCTTTTGTTAGCTTGGGATTTGCATTTTTCTTGTTTCTCTAGTTCCTTGAGGTATGATGTTAGGTTGTCAATTTGTGACCTTTCAGACTTTTTGACAGGCATTTAGCACTATAAACTTTTCACTTAGCACTGCTTTTGCTGTATCTCAGAGGTTTTGATAACTTTTGTCAGTGTTATCAATCATTTTGAAGAATTTTTAAATTCCCACCTTGATTTCGTTGTTAACCCCAAAATAATTCAGGAGCAGATTGTTTAATTTCCATATATTTGAATAGTTTCAAGGGTTTCCTTTTTATTTCTAGTTTTATTCCATTGTGGTCTGAAAAGATACTTGATATGATTTTGATTTTAAAAAAATAATTAAGACTTGCTTTGTGGCCTATCATATGGTCTATCTTGGAGCATATTCCATGTGCTGATAAGAAGAATATGTATTCTCCATTTCTTTGGTAGGACTTTCTGTAAATAGCTGTTAGGTCCATTTGTTCTAGAGTGCAGTTTAAGTCCAATGTTTCTTTGCTGACTTTCTGCCTCGATGATCTGTCTAGTGCTGTCAGTGGAGTGTTAAATTTCCCCAGTATTACTTAATACTGTTTATCTCTTTTCTTAGGTCCAATAGCAATTGTTTTATGAATCTGGGAGCCCAAAATTTGGTGCGTATACACTTAGAATTGTCGTATGTTCTTGCTGGAACAAAAACATATCTTGTTCTTGTTTATGATTATATAATGACCTTTATGATTATATAATGACCTCCTTTGTCTCTTTTTACTGTTGTTGCATTAAAGTCTGTCTTATCTGATGTACAAATAGCTACTCCCACTTACTTTTGGTTTCAATTTGCATAGCATGTCTTTTTCCACATTTTTATCTAGAGTCTATAACAATCCTTCCATATTAAGTTTGCCTCTTGAAGACAGTAGATATCTGGTTTGCAATTTTTAATTCATTCTGCCAATCTTTGTCTTTAAATGGAGCTTTTAACCATTTACATTCAACATTAATATTGAGATAATGAGGCACTGTTCCAGCCGTCATGTTGATTGTTACCTAAATATTGCCTTTATTGTGTTATTGTATCATAAGCCCTTTGAGTTTTTTGCGTTCAAGGAGTTCTTTTCTGGTGTATTTCGACCTTTAGTTTCAAGATGTAGAACTCATTTAAGCCTTTCTTGTAGGGCTGGTCTGGAAGTGGCAAATTTCCTCAGTATTTGATTGTCTGAAAAAGACTTTATTTCTCCTTAATTTATGAAACTGAGTTTTGCTGGATACAAAATTCTTCCTGGACAGTTATTCTGTTTAAGGAAGCTAAAGATAGGACCCCAGTCCTTCTGGTTCATCAGGTTCCTGCTGAGAAGTCTACTGTTAGTCTGACAGATTTTTCTTTATAGATTACCTAATGCTTTTGTCTCACTGCTCTTAGAATTTTTTCCTTCATGTTGACTTTAGATAGCCTGATGACTACACAGATTGGTAATGTGGTTTTAGCAATGAATCTCCATAGAGTTCTTGGAGATTCTTATATTTGAATGTCTAAGTCTCTGACAAAGCCAGATAAGTTTTTCTCAAGTATTCCCTTAAATAAGTTTTCCAAACTTTTTGCCTTTTCTTTTCCTTCAGGAATAACAATGATTTTTAAGTTTTATATAATCCCATATTTCTTGCAGACTTTGATCATTTCTTTAATTCTTTACTTTTATTTATTATTTATTTATTTTTTTGAGACAGAGTCTCACTTGGTCACCCTGGCTGGAATGCAGTGGTACTATCTTGACCCACTGCAACCTTCACCCCCAAGGCTCAAGTGATCCTCCCACCTCAGCCTCCCAAGTAGCTAATACCACAGGCATACACCACCATGCTGGGATAATTTTTTGTATTTTTAGGAGAAACGTGGTTTCACCATGTTACCCAGACTGATTGCAAACACCTGAGCTCAAGCAATCCACCCACCTCAGCCTCCAAAAGTGCTAGGATTATAGGCATGAGCACCAACCCCAGCTCAATTCTATTTTATTTTTGACTGATCGGGTTAATTTGAAAGCCTTGCCTTTGAGCTCTAAAATGTTTTCTTCTACCTGATCTTGTCTATTATTATTTTCCACAGCATTTTGTAATTCTCCAACTATGTCTTTCATTTCCAGAAATTCTGATTGGTTTTTCTTTAAAATATCTATCTTTTCATTCATATCCTTGATTGTTTTTACATTTCTTTTTGTTAGTTTTCATCTTTCTCTTGTATCTCCTTGAGTAACTTAATATTCAACCTTCCAAATTCTTTCTCTAGTATTTCAAAGCTTTTATCTTGGTTTGGAAACATTGTTGGAGAGCTAGTATGATATTTGAGGGCATATAGAACCCTGTATTTTCATATTGCCAGAATTATTTTTTTGTTTTTTTTTTTCTCATTTGGATAAACTATTTCTTCTAAGTTTTGTGAATTTATATTTGTTTTGACTTTTTAAAATTTCATTTTTTCCCTTGAGGGTATGAATTTAATATTTATCGTTAATGGTAACCTAATTCAGTTCTAGGTGTTTTCAGTGGTGAAGACTCTATTTAATTTCCTTGGTTTTAAAGAGTTTTTATATGGTTGTTTTCTTAGATGCTGGTTGGAGTAGCAATGTGCTCAATATGTGAGCAGGTTCACTGTCTGCTGTTGGGTTGTAATGGCAAGGGTCTCATGAAGCATATTTCATTACTAAGTGGTATACACTGTTTTATTTATTAATTTTTCCCCCCAGTATCTTATTCACTGGGTTGAGCAGTTCAGGCTTCAGCACAGTAGGAGGTGTCCATGGGTAAAAATGGGCTGTGGCTAAAGCAGATGTGAAACTGCAATATTCAGTTGTGGGCAGAGGTCCAGCCTTGACACAGGCAGCTGGAGGAGCTCTCAGTGAAACACACAGAGTTCTATTCAGGAGGAAGAGAGGTAGCCACTTCAGCTCTACTACTGAGTCAGCAGGAAACCAATCTATTTTTCAAGTCACACTCGTGACCCAGAGAGCCAGCATTTCAGATCAAACAGGTACCTCTTTTCATCTGCAGGAATGCTGATGTTCTAGGTAAAGACAGATTGTGACTCTACCCATTGTACAAATCTGAACCTGGAGGACACTATTCCTTTGGGGATGTGGTCAACCTGATGTGTTCCAGAAAGGCTGTCTACAGGTACATCCACACAAGCTCCCGTAGGAGAAGCCCCAGATGTGTCTGCAATGGTGGACAAGGGGGAGAAGTTCCATTCTCCAAGACCTTTTATTATGAGCACCAGAGCTGCCTGATTGTTTTGGTAGAGCCACAGGCTTTCCCCACTGAATACAACAGTGCACCTCTGCTTCTGCTGAAAGAAAGTTTCCACAGGTGGAAAATTCTGGGACTCAAGGCCTGCTGTCTGGATTATTTTGTCCCACAAAGTGTTCCCTTGATGTGGTACACTCCCCCATCCCCTAGGAGAAAGAGACTGTTCTATTCTGCCAGCAGATACTGTGATGGACTGTTGGTTAGCCTCCAGCCAGGAAGTGGCACTTGCAAAATAATGCTAGATGTTGATGGAGGCCAAAAGACAGAGGGTCGTGATCCCCAGCCATCCCATTACTGGTTATATACCCAAAGGACTATAAATCATGCTGCTATAAAGGCACATGCACACGTATGTTTACTGCGGCACTATTCACAATAGCAAAGACTTGGAACCAATCCAAATGTCCAACAATGATAGACTGGATTAAGAAAATGTGGCACATATACACCATGGAATACTATGCAGCCATAAAAAATGATGAGTTCATGTCCTTTGTAGGGACATGGATGAAATTGGAAATCATCATTCTCAGTAAACTATCGCAAGGACAAAAACCAAACGCCACATGTTCTCACCCATACGTGGGAATTGAACAGTGAGAACACATGGACACAGGAAGGGGAACATCATACTCTGGGGACTGACTGTTGTGGGGTCGGGGGACGGGGGAGGAATAGCATTAGGAGATATACCTAATGCTAAATGATGAGTTAATGGGTGCAGCACACCAGCATGGCACATGTATGCATATGTAACTAACCTGCACATTGTGCACATGTACCCTAAAACTTAAAGTGTAATAATAATAATAATAATAATAAAATGAGGGTCGTGATCAACTCAGTATACCACTGGAGGCTATATGAGCAAACAGCAAACTATTCTCATGAATGCAGGTTGTTGGCAAACTGACAAACTGCGTCTGCCACCCAGAAGGAATGCTGAGGGCAGTCACGCCCCAGGCGCAGTGTTTCTTGTGATTATCTACAGGCATATCTGAAGCCTGTTAGCAATCATGTGAACCTGTGATAAATCAAGCAGCTGACCAACCGTTACATCCTCCTCCCTGCTCTTTCTACCCAATAAATATGAAGGACTGTAGAAACTCAGGGCCCTTGCTCACTAGAAGCAAGGAGCCCCCTGACCCCTTCTTTAAAACAGAACCTTTTGTCTTTATCTTCATTTCTGCATTCATCCCCTTCATTCAGTCCCATAGTAACCATCACAAGCTGTGGAGGTAATGGTGGGATTTATGTTTGTTCTATGTTACCCAGGGCTGGTACTCTGGTATCTCAAGCAGTGGGCAGGGCCATACAGCTCACAAAAGATCCTGTCCTTTTTGTTAAACTACCGTATCTAGTGGAGGGTCAAAGCCAGGTGGGGGCTAGGTCAGGCAAGTCTGTGGTGCTCTGGCACCCCAAGTGTGGGTACTAGCAGCAGCCCCAAAGGGGATCAAAGGGCAGTTCCCTGGCTAATAGGACAATGTTCTAAGGAGGAGGGCAACTGCATCTGTTGCACAGGAGTCTGCATGGAGAGCGGGGAGGAGTAGGCTGCACCAAGTCCCATCCACGTCCCATGCTCTTGGCAAGGCATGTCTCACACCCAAAATATTCCACTAGTAGCAGCTAGCTAGGTTCTAAACAGTCTGTGCTCAGAAATCAAAACTGACCTTGGGCATTAGCCTTCTCTGATGAGACAGAAACCATGGCTTTCAGGCCATATCTCTCCTCAACAGTCTGAAAAGCAGGGTTATCCACCCCCTGTGCCCTTGGCTACACCACACTTCCCATTCACCCCTTGGTTCTGGCCAAGGGGGTTTGTCCCTACTGGAGATTATATCGTGAATCTCCACTAGGAGCTTCTCTCAACCTGGGACTGTCTCCTGAGTTAGCTGGCTGACTTCCATGAGGTCACTTGAGAGGTAGGATGAGAAATGGCTTCCGTCTGTCTTTACTAGGGTCTGGGAGTACACACAAAGCATGACTTCATACCACTCCTTCTGATCTACTCCCCACCGCTCACTAAATAATCTTCAGAAATGGGTACAGTTAAGGCCTTTCCCCCTGGCCTGGATTGCCACGCTCTCCAGTGAGAGAGTACATCCTGAAGGCAGTCTCTTTCCCTCTCACACTCTGAGGATTTAGAGTTTTCCACCTGGCTCACCATGTGGGCTGCAGGCTGTCACTTATTTCAAAGGACTTGTGATTTCTTTCTGTTTTGCTGTTAAGTTCCTGTGTTGCTTCTTAGAAAAAAGTTTGCAGTGTGAGTCTCTACACACTATTTTGCCATTCCAAGTGAGAAAGGGATGCTAACAAGGCCTCCAGTGCAACATTTTGGTGGGAAAATAAAGTCTTAAGATGAGATATATTCACTCAGAAATCATATTTTTTTCTTAACAAATCATTAAATATAGTTGATTGTAAAAAAAAGATGCAAGCCTACATTATCCCCATGTCATTCAAGGATTAAGTTGTAAAAAAAATTAAAAATAAGTTAAAATAAATATAAAAATACTAATACAAAACTTTGATGCTAAAGGGCTTCTTAAATGGGACAAAAATTGAGATACTATAAAGAAAAATAGTTAGAAATATATGTATTTTTACATGGCAAAACAAAGAAGATAAAATACACCTTATAAGCTTTTAAATCACTATTTGTACAGATATTCACATTGTCTTAATAACAAAGAGGAACTAGAGAGGAAAGTTTGGGAGTATGAACATTACAGATAGACCTAGCCTGTATACAGGTCCACAGATACAAAAGATAAATTACAGTGAATATGAATATGTGCCTGTGTATATACATATAAATAAAAACATAAAATATTATATATTATTAATTTAATTGTTTTTATATTTATGTGTGACAAAATGACACCTGAGAAGTAAACAATGATTTAAAGGAGACTCTTAGGAATATATACTTTCCTTGGAAGCTTATTAAGAGCCATTCATAATGTTAATGACAAAGGTAACATGACAAAATTTTTGTTTCACAAATAATATGTCTTCCAGGGTATCCAGTGTGGAAATTTGAATTAATAAAATTAATATGGGTGATTAAGACCAATGAGGAACCTATTTTGGAAGTTATTAAGTTATGTTGGGAATTTGTGACTTAATAGTCAAGGTAGTAATAGGAGAAAGAAGATGATCCTAAGATGTTAAACCTGTGTACATGGATGGTGGTACCTTACAACCCATTAGGAAACAGAGAAGGAAAATACTTAGGTAGGAATAACATGATTCAATTTTGAAAATGTGGAGTTTGAGATATCTGTTGTAGATACAACGGTGAATGGTCAAATGACAGAAGCAAACTTGTCTGTGAGCTCCTCAAAGCAATCTGGACCTCAGATATTGATGTGAGAATCATCTTGGTTGTGTTTATAACAGTATGAGTTTATCTCTGTGCTTAAATATCCCCTTTTTGTAAGGATACCAGTCATATTGGAATAGGGACCATTTTGTTGTTTTATCTCAGCTTGATCATGCGCAAAGACCCTATTTTCCAATATGGCCTCGTTCATAGGTGCTGGGTTAGGAATAAACATAACAATGAGTAAATTACCTAATGCTGGTGCTTCAGTATTTGCTATCAAACCTGACACAATAGTCTCTAATTTAGTTATTATCATCAAAAGGTTGATTTTTGGTTCCCATGTAAACATTTTTAATTTATTGATTTGTTTAGAAGTCATGTGGGAGAGATATTTGGTATTTATTTCATCTCCATCAAAGTACCCACAGGTGGGAACAATGTAATTTGTGAAACTGTTGAGCTTATGACAACACAAGTTGAAGTCAATTTGTTCCAGTTCACAAAAGCTGATTGTTACATTTTTAGGAATTTTGAGAGCTGATTACTAAACATACTTATTATAATAACAATTGAATAATATAAAAATAACAATTAAATATATTCCAATAAATATTCAAACCCATACTTTCTAATTGTTTTGCTATATTGCTCTATTATCTGTGTGTTTGGACTATTTACCTATTATACCTATGTGGTAGAAATATTATATAACGGTATGCTACTGAACCCGTCTTTTCAACTTTGTACTCAGTGACATCACTCTGGAGTTTAAAACTGTCTGTGATGGGCCTATTTCCTTCACATAAATATGAAACAACAAACTGTCAGAACTTGACTTATTTTGTTGAATCCCCAGACATAAGAGTGTAAGGAAACATTGATAATTTACATTAAATTTTAAAGTGTGTTATGTCCGTGCCTCATACATATTAAGTAACAAAAAAGGGGAGATATATTATTCTGATTCAGCAAAGAAATCACTTGCATTATTGACAAGTGAACGAATTTCCAACATACAGCTGCATTATTTCACTGTTATTTTACTAGTTAATACAAATGAAACTATCAACCAACACTCACACCGAAACCACACTCACAGAGTCACTAGTTAAATCTTCATTAGCGCATCATGAAATAGGAAGACATTAACGATAGCAAATTTAGATTTTTTTCCGTACAATTCCTAATTCTACAGGTGGTCAACATTTTGTTGGGTTGTTTACAGTAGTGGAAGAGATTTAAGAGGCTATTCATTAGACATATGTGTATTGGTGAGAAAAAGAGAGAGAAAGGAAGAGAATGTAGCTGAATCTGAGTATAAAGAGAATATGCTTGATGAAGAGACATATCAAACTCAAACTGGAGGGTTTTGCCATGAGACTTAGGGCAATTCTTCCATCCTAAGGAAAGGAAATAATGAAATAATGGGCGCAGGTGTAGGTAATTTGTATTTAGTATTGCAATATATTGAGGGAATTTACACCTGGTGTTTTACATTTTTCTACAAAATAAATGTATTGCTCAAAGTGAAGGGGAAGCAAGAAGCATAAACAACTTTAAATCTAATTGAGTAGTTTTGAGTTATCTGCAGTAACAAACAGGAGATAAACTAAATATTGGTGAAGGGAGGGGAATTGAAAGGCAGTATTTGAGACCTTGTGGGATCTATCAGGGGTTTGCATGATTTGAACCTATATTATTCAGCCTAGAGGGTTAGGTTGGCCTAAGGTTTGCTTTTTTTTGATTGAGATAGATGAAGGGACTCACATCTCATTGAGATGACTAAGGAGGTGGTATTTAAAGGGCAGGTCTAACTGCACTGAAAAGAAAATAAACTGATGACAAGAGACATTAACGGCTTGCAGAAAGTACAAGGTTCAGCCACAGAACACAGAAGAAAGTCAAAGAGCTATTGTGGTATGAATGACAGAGTATATACATGTAAAATAGTTTACTAATTATACTCTGGTGTTATCTGTCTTTCTAATCCTTGTATCTCTGTTTTTTCTCGTAATGGTGCTCGCTTTTCAAATTCTCAGTAAGCTAAAAAAATAAAGGCATCACAAATATTGTCCTTGTACTGGCAAATTGTAAAATTAAATTATTAGAATTACACTTCAGTAGAAAATATAACACTATTAGCAGGCACTTTTATTCTTGAGTACTTTTATCAACTTAAGGCTAATTATCAGTGAGCTAGGGAAATGATCAAATAACTTTCTCCCAGTTATTAGAGTTTCAATAATTTATCTGAAGTTGCATTTTAGGATAAGAGTATTGAGTGTATATATTGATTATCTATTTTTCTGTTTTACTTTCCCCAGGAAATGTTTGAGTTATTAAGTGCTTTTTTCCCATATCAGATGCTTCATAAATTGACAATGACCATAAAAGTGAAGTTAATGAAGATTAAAAATACATTTTTATTTACTGTATTCTCAACTATACTTGGGTTATAATTCTGTACTTATATGAATGTATACAAAACTGCTTAGATTTTGTCCATACATTGTTGAGTTTGTGTCTATATCTAATTGTCATGTTTAAAATTAACAGTTAAAAACCACAATATATAGTGAACACATGTAACGTTGAACAAGTGTATAGTAGCCTATGAAACAATTATGAGAATTCATATAATCCAGAAGATGGTGCTGTTTACATTTCTACTGCGTTTTGGAACTGCAGCGAAACAATTTATTTCCGATTCCTCCATTGATGGGTTGTAAATTATTGAGCATACCTTTGCAATAGGAACAGTTAATGTAGCTTTGCTCTTGAGGATTTCACATTTACAAATAATTTGCATAACATTTCCACAGGAGATATTAGAAAATGTACTACTTCACAAGCAATCTCACATTAATGGAACCTGATCAGTTGCAGCCATCCCAGTTATCTTATGCCAGGAGTACACTCAAATGTGAAAATACATATTAGTTAAAAGACCTATTTAATTTTCTGGTTACTTATATGGCTATTAAAATGCAACATGCAGACCATTAAAGTGGTGATGATCCTTATTTAATGGAATTTGAATTTATTCTTCCAAGTAGTGAACAGTTTTATACTGACATGTTAATTATGTACTATACTGGCACAAAAGATTTAGCCAGTTAACATAGATAAATGGGACACATAGTATCTATAATACATCAGACCTATTCCACTTCACTCGAAGTTTAGTAAGGGATCATGCACACAGTCTTATAACTGCTTCTGGTAATTTTGTAAGGAGTTAGGAAGAACCCCTATGTGCTTTTACCAAGACTGTCACTAGCAATGCTTACTGCCTCTGTTTAAAAAGTCATGCCCTCCAAAGCAAATGAAATAATGGAAATTTGAGCATAGCTTTTCAAATCCCCTGCAAATCAACGTAGAAACAAAAACAAAACAAATGAGAGTGATCTAAAATCTGCATAAAAATTTTTGTACAGAACAATGTTTAACTACTTTTAAATATTGAGTTAAGGTTATAATATAGAGGTCTAAATTAGTAATATTTTAAATGAGAGTGAAGAAGTTTGGCAATTCGAGTGTGCTATACCCTTAGTAATCATAGGAGAATTGATACAGATAAAAAGAAAAAAGTAAGTATAGACACATCATTTTGTAGATAGAGGAACCCACCAGAAAATCTGAGAGAGAAACCAAGAGTTAAAATTAGTTATTTATGGGGAGAGGAAATTCAGGTGGAGAAATGTGGAGATAGAAAAGTCTTAATTAATTATATTCTCCCTTATTTGCTACCTGAGTTTTTAAACGCATTACTATATTTCTTTTATAAAAAGTAAAATTATCCCTGGAAAAAACAAGACAGAGACTCCAAAGGTTGCCCAGTAGACTATCTTTATCAGAATCATTTGGAATAATTTTGGTTTTGTTGCTATGGTTGTTACAATTAAAATAGCTTTCCTGGGTTTGCCTGGAGAGCTGCTAAATTAGACCCTTTGGATTAGGCCTTGGGAGTTTGGATCTTTGACAAGCTTCTCCAGTGACTTTGCTCTGTAATAAATTTTGCAGACCCTTGAAAATTCTTAAGCTGGGGAAGACTGAAACAGGGGTAGGAGAGGAGGCATACTAGGCCCCAATAAACACAGGGCAGCATAATGAAACAAACAAGCAACATGATTAAATAAAACAAGAAAATACATAGAAGATTTATGGATGTTATTCTTTTAAAATTTAGATATTATAAGCTTTTAGTGGGAGATACCCTCTTACCAAATGACTTCATTTTTTTTCTGGAGCTTAATTCAACAATTAGATATCTCATTTCATTTTCCTAGATCCGTTTACCAGAAGTAATTCTAAGATTTAAGTTGCCTGGAGCAAAAATCTAAGGAGCAGAGTTGCAGCTGGTTTTTCTGATGATTGTAATTTAGGTAAATAGTCAATGCTGCTGGAAATAGAATTTGGTTTTTGTGTGTTCTTTGATAAGGTCTTTGTTGAACTAATTTGCTGTTGCTCTGCCTTTTCTAGAATTTGGAAATTAAAAGTTCTTGGAGGTGTATATGTGTGTATACATATATATATATGCATGGAAGTGTGTGTATATATATGCATGGAAGTGTGTATATATATATATATATGCATGGAAGTGTATATATATATATACACACACACATACATGTGTATATATATAACTTACATATATATAACATATATATTACTTTTTAATGTTAGAATATAAAAGGATGATTCTTTTGAGCATGATACTGTTTCCAATGGTTAAAATTGTTCACAAAAAAAGACATTATTTGGAAAAAAATCTCTTTATCCTGTCAACTTTTTTCTTTTGCAAAATGTTTTCTTTTATTGTTTCTATGCTTTTTTATGATACTAAATGCTCACAGCTTTTTAAACAACAAAAAATTTCTAAAAACTATTTTCAACATAGGAATGTTACAGGAAGTGGTTGCATTAATTAATTCAGTCCCTATATAACTAATTAATTGTGTGATCCCTTACCAAACTATCTTACACTGGATACTTTGCATAAAAAATTACATTGATATGTATGCTTTTAGTCACTGGATTTAATATTGAGACAAGTGACACATATACAAAATATAACTCTTGGAATTCATGAACTAAATTTATACTCACAAAGTTGTGTGAGGACAACTAATCTATATAGCAGATCTAATTAGAATTTGGCTCTATTCTTAAACACAATTTACAAACTTAAATGGACTTGTTGGCAGAAATGCATGATATAACGCTCTACATCCTACGCTTATGGCCAGGTGTTATACAATATTTAAATAAAAATCTTAAAAACATGATCTTTTGAGCGGCACTCTTGGTTAATGCCTCATATTGGATATCCTGATGCTTTAACATGTGAGTTGATTTCTTGCATGTATTGTATACTTAGTGTCTTAGTCATTTCAGGCTACTATAACAAAGTACCATAGATAGAGTGGCTTATAAACAACAGAAATATATTTCTCATAGTGCCATGGGCTGAAAGTCTGAGATCAGGGTGCCAGCATGGTCTGGTTCTAGTAAGGGCCTTCTTCTAGGTTGCAGACTGACAATTTCTCACTTTATCCTAACATGGTGGAAAAGAGTGACCTAGCTCTTTTGCCTCTTCTCTTAAGGACATTAGTCCCATTGATGAGAGCTTCATCCTCATGACCTAATTACCTCCTGAAGCCCCACCTCCAAATGCCATCACGCTGGGAATTGGATTTCCAAATATGAATTAGGGAGGGACAAAATATTCATTCCATAACACTTAGCGTCTACTTCCTCTCTGTAAATTGTTTCAGTTCCTATTTATATTTCCTCTATTTTTACTGTGACAGGACCATGTTAAATAATTTTTTCTCTATGTTTATAAGCATTGAGATACATAACAATTTAAAATGAAATGTTTAAAAAATGTAATGACAGTGATAAACAAACTAGACATCTTTGTACCTCTTTAGACCTCTTTGTGGTGTGTGTGTGTGTGTGTGTGTGTGTGTGTGTGTCTGTGTGTATGTGTCTGTGTGTAAATGGGCAGTATCTACTATACCTCAGTCCCACAAGGTGTCTTTTGAATAGCATTGTCCTGATTTTGTATTTTTTATTTGTTTATGCTTCTAGGTAAGACTGTGTTTGAAGAGATGGTTTAAAGGCTATAAAAAAATGGAAAACTCTTGCTCTAAGATATTAATACAAATGGAACATCACAAGTGCATTCAAGTGTTTCTTATTCTGCATTGTACAAAAATTATTTCTGAACATTGGCCTGCTTTTCTTTTTTATTGTATGCCTTATCTTTCCTTTTCAATTATTCATAGTCTCCTAAGGACCACTTTCACTACAAAATAGTATCTATGGGAGGTAAAAACAGCAAGAAATGTATTTCTGAATGGATTACAGGGAACGGTCTATTTAGAAATTTAAATGTATGTGGTCAACATAGAAGAAGATATATACACCTACTCAATAACTCTTTTAACCAACAGTGTTCTGGTTATGGCCTGTTTTAACCTTCTGATTTTCTTTCTGGGAAGTATGTATATATTTCTTTTATTTTCTATGTCCAATTTACTTTTATGCTATGAAATTTGGCATGAACTCAAGGGATTTGGGGCTATGTTTTTCTTTTTAATTATATTTAGCAATGTTTTCAGTTGATTTAGAATGCGTATAGCCTCTATTTACTTTCTGACCATCCATTAAAAGAATGTATTGCTGCTTGCTCTTTCTTTCTAATCTGTAAAACATTTTAGAATTTTTGCAGATCTTTACCCACCCTTCCTTACAACAAAATTCTGCCCTCATTTATATTTTTATAACCTACTTTTTCAAAGTTGTGTCAATTTCATTTGTAAATTATTTCAAACATACAAAGAAATAAAATAATATAACAGAAACTCATGTATCCAACACTTTGAGTATGGGTTAGCCATATATCAGGCTGATTTTCCTTCCTGATATTTCTATGCACTTAATTCAAGTAATCTTCTCCCATCACAGTGTTCAAATGTTATAGAGAATCATTTTATAATAAAAATTTAATTGTTTTAAAAAATATGAGGTTAGATTCCATCTCTCTTCCAAAAAGGAAATGTGATTTTTTTAAGAAAAGGTGCTGAAAAGAAACAACAGAGAACATTCTACTCTCAGCCCCTTTAGTGTAATGTTACTTACACAAAATATAGCCTATAAACAAATATCTAGCATATATATGAAAATAGCCAATATTTTGCTTGTCTGCTTTGTTTGTTTTTTTTTTTTTTCCTAAAACCTCATTTAAAATAGCAGGGACTCTTTCAATAAATATGAAGCAGGTCTAAGTAAAATAAAATGGGTGTGGCTAGAACTGAAAAAAATGTAGACTGTGTGTGGCTTAAATATCATATTCGAATGGAAGAAGTACCTGAATCTCAGTAAGAGATATCCCCCAGCCCCATGATGTAAATTAGGTGACTGAAGGAAACTGTAGTACTTCTAAGGGTGAATTTTATTCTTAAAAATTAACAGAACCGTTCAGAGAACAACACAAGTATAAGGAAATCAGGGACTACTATTCGGTTCAGCAGAATGTATGTATGGATGTTATAGGTTTCAGGATTATTCAGGAAAACTAAAGGTAAATTATAGGTCACTGATAAGTTTTTGAGGCATATCAAATAATGATGCTTGGGTCAGCACTGACAATATCCCTGAAAGATTTCCTTTATTCTGAGCAGATGAAGCCTTAAAATGAAAAAAGAAGGGTTATGTCGTTTTCTGCAGACATTTGCTTCATCTCTTGATATACACAGCACCTAAGAGAGGTGCAAAAAAAGACTGGAAACATTTTCGAGGAGCAAGATGTTGGGAAAACCAAAAATAAAATAAGGATATTTCTAAATAAGATGGGTATTTATCTCATAAATATTGCTTCTGCAGATATGCAAGTGCCTAGCTATGCAATCACAAACTATTCACTCTGTGTCTCCTCATTTTTAAAGTAGCCTACATCAAAAATTTGTTCTAGAGAGTCAGTAGGTTATGAATATTAAGATTTTGAGTAATGATTGGCCTTTAGAAATTATTCAATAAATATTATCTGTTACTATGATTCAACAAAGAAGGAAGGCATAATCAGGCTGCAGTGGAGATGTTGCTAGAACTCTCAAAAAAGGAAAGTATTTCCTTGGGTTTGTTTCATTTTCTTTGATTGTCTTCTTTTACTGGAGAAATGCCTTCCCCTTTCTCCCACTTTCTTGTTTTTTTAATTCTGTACTTGCTTCATATTTTTCTCTGTACATTTGCTTTTCTGTTTACTTTCAGTTCTTTCCCAGAATATCACCCTTCCTATGACTATGGCTTAATCTATTGTAGACAAAATGCCTGTAGCCAAGGCTCTCACACGTTGGGGTGCCTAAGTATAATATTGAAACTTGTTACAGTGCAAAATTATAGCCCAAACTCCAAGAGATTTTGATTTAATAAATCTGAGTTAAATTATAGAAATGCACAATCTTATCAAGCTCTCAAAGTGATTTTAACGCCCATAGCCTGTGAGAAACATCAGATGACAAGACCTCTAACTCAGTACAAATTATTTAAAAAGAAAATCTGCTTGACTGATCCAAGCCTATGGATGAATTTCCTTTAAACCGTTTACTACATGATTTAAATCTTTATGATCAAATTAAAGGTGGATAATTGTACTAGAACATTGTTTGAATATGCGTGTCAACCCAATTCCATCACTTTGCCTTGCACACTAAGTTCTAATTATATATAATACATGATAAACTAATCACAGTAAAACATCAAATGCAAAGACTCTCCTTTAAAAAAGAGACAAATAAAAATATAGCTATGTCTACTGGCTGGATCTAAATGCAATGTTTTGGAGAAGAGGCCACAAACTCTCCTTCATATTCTTGTGTTCAGCCATGGTCTTGTCAGGGTGTGGGCTCAGTATAGTCACACTATTCACACTATTATGCAGAATTTAAACAGGAACATAAACATAAGGAAAATCCATATGCTTCAAGTAAAACCTCCACTTAGACAAAAGGATAAAGAATAAGACATGAGGCTTTCTTGCTAGGATGTTTTCCTGTCTTCTGACTTTTTTTGTATGCCATGTGGGAACAACCAGTTTATTTCCAGCACTAGGAAAGCTCCACATTTTTCCATCCCTTAGCGGCCATGATCTATGTGCCTGGTTTCTTAGCATTCAAATAAGAATCACTTTCTTAGCCCCATCTTTGATTCAGATGCTATGTTTTTATATCCTGCCTCAGAATTGTACCTTTTCTCTCACGAAGACAGCTAAAACATCTATGAATTAAGAAGCTGCTGCTGCCCACAGAATTGTTATCTAGCTTTTGGCCCTGGGTAAGACCATTATGATACATTAAATCAATTCCAGGAAATACTTGAATAATCTAGATTTCAAGCCAAAGAGCTCTCTGGATATTGGCCATGTGTCAGGACTTTCTTGTTCTGCAAAGAGACAGGATTGATAAACTGCCACAAGTGGTTCTAAGCTTAGAACTGAGAGACTCTGACCACACGGACACCATCACCAGGGAGAACAGACGCATATGGAAACAAGGAAAGGAAAGAGGTGCAAACTGTTTTTAGAAGAATCTTATGACATTTTGTGTCTGAAACAGATATGCAGGCTATGTTTTAATATTTAAAGAGTAAACAAAGTAAAAACCTTGCTCTCAGTGTTTAATAGTGCAAGAAAATGCACAATTAGATATTGACATTGTCAATCATTACCACTTCCAAAAGGAATATACAATAAGAAATCAATAAATGCTCTTCTTTGAAAAATTTTCTTTGTTTTTTTCAAGGAATCTAGTTGTGAGACAAAATATTTTTGCATATTCTCTGTTTGCCCCAAATTACTGAGATAAAGGAATAAAGAAAGAGAGGAAGACGTGGGAAGAAGGAAAAAGGGGAGAGATTTGAAGGAGGGAAGGAAGGAAGGGAGGAAGGGAGAGACAAACATGAAAAATTCTTAAAACCACATTTACAGAGCATAAAAACCTGTGGGGGTAAAACATAAAAAAAAGCTTGAGATTATTTTAAATGAAGAACTTTTGTAGGAAGGACTTTTTACCAGTCTTTCTTAGTGTACTAAAATTCACCTCATTATTCTTTTTATAATAAACATTAAGCCTAGTTTTAAAAAAAAAGTCAGTTCTCAATGAAAGTTGCTAAAATCAATTGGCAAATAAGATGAAACAGAAAAAAAAATTAGCCTGATGAATGACCAAAAAAGCAAGCTTCTATTATAGAAACAAAGTGGACAATACTAGTCGCCCTTGTTACAATCTCATTTGTTTGTCAATAATCCATAGTTAATCAACAAACCACGTGCCTTAGAAAAAAAAACCGGTTAAACTGTACATTTGAAGACAAAACTGGAGACAATACTTAGCTTGTTCGGTTACAAAATTAAAGAAGCAAATTCATTTACTCTTCTCAGAAAGAAGAACTGTTTTATATGATAAGGTGAGTCAGAGAAGTTCCAGAAGCCCCTGTTTTTAAAGTCTACTTTCTTGTATCTCTTTCAAATAGGATCTTCTTCTTTCCATAGGGTCTAAATAAATCAATTCTAATAACACATTCAGAGTAGATTTTCATTGTTTTGCGGTCGTTGATTATTATTTTATAACTTTCTCTGTAATGGTTGCAGCTCATTATATTGGTTGCAGCCAATAGAATGTATTATATGCGATTACACGCACAAAAACACACATACACATACACATGCACGTATACCACACACAGTCATGTCCTTGACCTCACTGTTCTGCCCAGCTACCACGATCTTCCTCAGCTTCTCTTTAAAGCAAAAATGCCACAAAGAGATATCTTTGGCCTGGGCGTGGCGGCTCATGCCTGTAATCCCAGCGCTTTGGGAGGCTGAGGTGGGCAGATCACGAGGTCAGGAGATCCAGACCATCTTGTCTAACACGGTGAAACCCTGTCTCTACTAAAAATACAAAAAATTAGTCAGGTATGGTGGCACAAGCCTGTAGTCCCAGCTACTCAGGAGGCTCAGGCAGGAGAATGGCTTGAACCTGGGAGGCGGAGGTTGCAGTGAGCCGAGATCGTGCCACTGCACTCCAGCATGGGCAACAGAGCGAGACTCCATCTCAAAAAAAAAAGATATCTTTACTCAATGTATTTCTTTTCATTCCTGCAATTCTCTGTTGAGTATAGAAATTAGCCGTTAACTGTCACACAAGATTAAAACTTGTATTATAGAGGTTATTGATGACAATACCAAATATATAAATGTCAATTTGCAGTATTCATCTCTTTTAGCCTACCTGAACTTGACACACTGACCACTGATTTACCTTAGGATGCGTATTTTTCCAGGATGCTAAAATAGTAATCTCTTTGGTTCTTATACTGTTTTGGACAGTCCCTCTCACACACCTTCATGAGATTTGCTTCATTTTTCCAATTTCTTAATTTTGGAGTGCCCTAGGAGTCACTTCTTAGAACTCTTGTTTCTGTCTGTACCCACCTCCAAATTTGTCTTCTTCAGTCCTGTGGCTTTAAATATGATTGTATTACCTTTCTGAGAGTGCTTTAACAAATTACCACAAAAATGAGCAGCTTAAAGCAATAGAAATGTGTTTTCTTATAGTTCTGGAACCCTTTTTCATAAATTTGAAGGCTGAGGCGGGAGTTGGGAGGGCTCCACGCCATCTGCATACCCGAAAGGAGAATCCATTTCTTGTCTCTTCTAGCTTCTGCCAACTGTCTTCATTCCTCAACTTGTGGCCTTGGGCTACATGACTGCAACTCCCTGACTCTGTAGTCACATCGCCTAGTCCCATCATCTCTTTCTTTGTGTGTCTGTTTTCTTCTGTGTGTCTCTTAGAAGAACAATTGTCATTGAATTTTGGGATTACCTCAATAATTGTAATAATCCACTTGAGCTGCTACAGCAAAATGCCATAAACTAGGTGGCTTATAAACAACAGAAATGTATTTTTCACAATTCTGGAGACTGGGAAGTCCAAGATCAGGGTGCCAGAATGGTCAAGTTTTGATGAGGGCCTTCTTCTGGGTCAAAGACCAGAAACTTCTCAGTGTGTCCTCACATGGTAGAAGGGGCAAACCAGTTTCCTCTAGCCTCTTTGATAAAAGCACTAATCCCATTTTGGATTAAATGGGTTCTGCCATCTAATCTAATAACTGCCCAAGGGACCCACCTCTTAATACCACTACCTTGTGGGTTAAGTTTTAACATATAAATTTTGAGGAGACACAAATATTCAGACCATGACAATAACCTATGGTGATCATCTCTTTATCTCAAGATTCTAAACTTAATTACATCTGCAAGGACCCTTTTTCCAAGTAAGGTAACATTCAGTTTCCAGGGATTTCATGTGAATATCTTCTGGGGGATCTTTTTTTGTCTGCCCCAGCGATCTATAAGCCAATAACTCCAACATGTAATTCTCTAATACACAGATCTCCTATGGCATTCCGATTCTGTTTTCATATATTTGTCTGACATCTCCCTTTGTGAAATTCACAGATAGCTCAAGAAAACAAAAAAAAGTACTACCCAGTTTCGTTAGTCAGAATTCAACAGGAGAAGAAGAAATAAAAATATATGAATTACAGATATATTGAAGGTACTGGCTCTCATGATTTTGGGGACTGGCTAGTTAATTTCCAAATATCAGAGAAAGCTGGAAAAGTAGGTTGGAATTCCAGAGCCTGAGCTGAAGTGGTTGTCCACAGATAGAATTTCTTTGAACTCAGGAAAGATTTAGTTCTGCTTTTTTAAGACCTTACAAATAATAGATTCAGGCTCACCCAGTTTATCTAGGATATTTTCCCTTCCTTAAAGTCAACTGATTGTGGACGTCAATCACATCACATCTAATTAGTGTTTACTTGAATAACTGGTGATAGTAGCCTAGTTCAGTCAACTTATCAAAGAAACTATCTTATCACCACTCAATTTGTTTATTACTAAGTCTACCCAAACTCATTGTTTTAGAGCTCTATTTTTTCCTCTCTGTTAGGCCAAATAAGCATGGTGTTATGCTTGACACTTGTCTTTCCCTCACATCCCACACCCAAATAATCAGCAAATCCAATGCATATTCAGAAATGTTCAATTTCTCAGTAACTCCATCAGTACCTCTTTAGTTCAGAATGACATGATTGCTCCCGTGAATTATTTCTGTGCCTTTTAAAGTGATCTACATACTCTGGCAAATTATACTGTACTCAGCAGCTACTGTGATTCCTTCTAGTGATATATATATATATATATATATATATAATATATATATATATATATTTTTTTTTTTTTTTTTTTTTTGCTTTTTTTTTCTTTTTGCTCAAAAACTCCCAAGAAGGTTCTATTTTGGTCAAAACAAGACCTCTGGCCAAAATGCTTGTTGCTCTTCCCCTTCCCACAAACTAAATACCTCCAAACCAACTAAATCTGGACCATATCCTGTTCATGCCTCTGTATTAATCTCTTACCTTGTACTTTTAAATTTTAGTATAAACAATTATTCACAGCATTTTATATAGGAATTGCCTGGTCTATATCTCCGAAATCTAGCATATTATGATATGAGCTGGGTCATTGACAGTTTTCATCCCAGTTACATCTTTAATGCTTAGAAAAGTATTTGTTCAAAATAAATACTTGTCAAAAGAATATAATAATTAACATCCTACAAGATCATATGAAATGAAATATAATTCCAGAGGTACACTCTTAAACTAAATTTAGCCTGGTCTACTTTCACATTAACGCACTATACTAAAAGTGCTTTATTTCCCATATAAAACTACAAGCTTTTTATCACTGAGTTTCAATGGCTACAATTCTCTTATTTTTTAGAAAATATAATAGCATTAGTATTTTATCAGTATTTCGTATGGATAAATGGTACATTCTACTTATTGTATGCTTTGTAGATAAAATTTATAGTACCATAAAATAAAGTGTTATAAGCAGTCTTTGGCTACATTTAAAATGTTAAGAAGTGTTTTTGATTTTTCATCTGCATTTTCAAATAAACCCCACCATGATAGATTAAATTTCTCTTTGAATTGATGAGACATTTTGATATCCACAGGGACTCCACGCATTATTGACTTTTTAATACTAGTTGTGCATTATGCTGTGCACCTAAGGCATTTTGAAATGAGAAATTAAAAGTAGTCAATAAGTAATCTCTATAACATTTAATATAATCTTTAAGTGAAAAATATGGTGCTACCCGTTATTCTTTAAAAATAACTTGATGAACAGTACCTAAACCTCATTCATCTGTTTGTCAAATAGTCACTGACATTCTACATAACATTCTGTTCATGGACAGCCCTGTCTTCCTGCTCCATGGATTAAGACAGGTAAAACGAATGAAGTAAGCACTGCGGTGAATGCCAAATAATGTGTTAAGGTTAAAAAATAGAAATGATAAGAGAGATAAACTGTGCAAGGTAGACTGTTAGTTTTTATAAAGTGATCAAGGAAGATCTTTCAAATATAGTGTTATGTGACCAGGAACCTGGAAGAACTGATCTATTGAACCATCTCGTATTTGGAGTCAGGAAGAGCAAGAAGATTGAGGATATTCAAGAACAATAGCAGGAAATGCAGTTAGAGAGGTGGAGGGAGGAAAACTCAGTCATGCAGTGTCTTCAAAACTATATTAAAGACTTGATTTTGATTTTGGAGAGTTACAAAAAGCTACTGGATGGTTCTGAAAGCTAAATGTTATGATTTATCTTATATTTTGAAAAGATAACTAGCAGCTGAGAGATAGGGGTAGAATAACAAGTTCAGAAGCAGGGAGACCCGATAGGTAATCAGGACAGAGAAGGCTAACAGGGTGTGGTTTTGACAGGAATCATTTGTATGGGACTGATATTAGTATATTACTTCATGTTATTGTACTGACGGTGCATAACACATTGGACATTTTATTTTCTGTAACTTGTGATTTTAAAATATCAGTATACTGATTCCTGGGCCAATGATTATTTAATCACAATAAAAAATACTGCAACATTTATTATCCACCCACGTTGATGTGCTTCATAAACCTTCTTCTCTGTGTGCATATATTAGTAGTTTAATAATTCAGAATACTAGGTATGATATGCAATCAAAAATAATTTGAAATAGTACTTTCCATGAAAACAGAATATCAGCTTTATTATGATAGACTGCTTGGTACAGAGTGAAATCACATTGCCACTGGATTTGATGTTATGAATTTTTTTCATTATAATTTAAATCGGTGCATCCAAATAATTAGAATGGCCATTGGAGTAATTGATAAATGAGTGAAATTCTCCATCATCACCAAATTTCCTCATTATGCTTAAGTACTTTAGGGATCTCTGAGCAGTGTACATTCCTTTGTACTCATAACTTAATTGCCTTCTTTAAAGGTTGACTTCAGTTTCAAAAAGTACTAGTAGTAAATGAAAGAAATATAAGATTAGTCTCATCCTTCTGGTATGTGAGATATTCCTTGAAAATATATGTTTACAAGTTGCTTTGAAATATTTGAGTTAACAGAACATCATTAACAATAACCGCATAGGGGTATAAATGTTACCTCTATGGCCTGAGACAATTAAGCTACCTCTTAAGCTTTAACCTTTCTAATGGGAAGTGACTCATAACTAGAAAAAAATATTGCAACTGCAAGAAAGTACTCTATAAAAGAAATTTAAAATTAATGGGATCTACATGCTAGTTTTACTTTTTCTTACACATTATTGGTAAGGATAAATTTAAGATTCTGATAGGCTAATACTCTTACTGATCATAATAATTATACCAATTATTATGTTTATTAAGAATTTATTACTAGATATGATTATAAGTAATACACACATCTACATGCGCCTGTGCACACATTCATAAAATCCTGTTAAATTCTCATAATAAGAATTGAATTAGGCCCTATATTATATTTATTTTAAGATGAGGAAAATAGTTCAGTCCTGTGATCTGACAGAGACCATAAATTCAATAAGTGGCAGCTCTGGACCTCGGTCCACCTCATCTAACTCAAAAATGCTGTTTCTGAGTATAGTTTAAAATGTATTAGATAAAAATTAGAAAGATATTTATGAACATTTTTTTCTTTTTCTAACAGCAAGCACTTAGTTGATGACCTAACTGAAGATATAAACTATTAACTTTTTTAAAAGTAATAAAACGTTACCCTTTTACAAGCTGTAGTGAAAGATCTTATTCATAATGACTTATCTATGCGGGACATAGAGATAAGGGTAAGAAGGGAAAGTAGTGTTTTCTCAAAACCGTCTCTATTAAGATTTTTCTCTGAATAAGCTGTTATATTTCCTAGAATTACTTGATGCAAGTGAAAGTAATTAGTAAAATGGATTAACATGTGCACAGTGATATATAACTACTGGGTTTATTTTGTTGCCAATAATTTTTGCTTTACAAAGTCACCTGACTTCAAGACATACTAGATCATTTACTTACAAACTTTTATATCCAAAGCTCTATGGAGCAGCATATAAGAAGCCCAATTGCTTAGATATAGAGATAGTACATAAAAAAGAGTGAGTGAAATATAAAACGATGTGTACTGCCTTATGAAGATTTGGATTATGATCATAGATTTTTTTCCATATTTTGTTTTTTTCCATATTTTTTCCATATTTTGGTTATCAAAGAAATTTTTTTTTGTCCAGATACCTAAGCAAGAGGACCATTATCCTACTTTTGGACCACTGGGAAAATTTCAGATTTCAAACTCTCAA